>NC_000021.9:6427258-6580181 GCF_000001405.40 Homo sapiens
GATCACCTGAGGTCAGGAGTTTGAGACCAGCCTGGCCATCACGGAGAAACCTGGTCTCTACTAAAAATAAAAAAATTAGTCGGGCATGGTGGTGGGTGCCTGAAATCCCAGCTATTCGGGAAGCTCAGGCAGGAGAATCGCTTGAACCCAGGAGGCGGAGATTATAGTGAGCCGAGACCACGCCACTTCACTGCAGTCTGGGCGACAGAGCAAGGCTCTGTCCCAAAATAAATAAATAAATAAATAAATAAGGAATTCTTTTATTCCAGCATCTTTCAAAAGAAACATTTTAGGCTGGGCGCAGTGGCTCACACCTGTAATCCCAGCACTTTGGGAGGCCGAGGCCAGTAGATCACAAGGTCAGGAGTTCCAGACCAGCCTGGCCAGTATGGTGAAACCCCGTCTCTACTAAAAATATAAAAAATTAGCCGGGCATGGTGGTGCATGCCTGTAGTCCCGGCTACCCGGGAGGCTGAGGCAGGAGAATTCCACGAACCCGTGAGACCGAAGTTGTGGTGAGCCAAGTTCACACCACTGCACTCCAGCCTGGGCGACAGAGCGAGACTCCGTCTCAAAAAAAAAAAAAAAAAGAAAGAAAAGAGACATTTTAATGACAGCTTTAGTTGCTTAGACATTTTTAGAAAATGGCCTGTAGAAAAATCAGTTATATTTTAAAATATTTTACTTTATATTCACTGAGTTTTCTTTCATATTATCTTAACACAGCAATCCATGTCAGAAATAAGTTGTGAAACCCTTAACAGTTTACATTGTCTTGTGTGTTAGTGTAGACCTGGGTCATAGAGACCGTGGAGCTAGAGGAGAGCAGCCAGCGAAGGTGGAGAAATACTCATCTGAACTGTGCCAGGGAATCCCAGGAAGGAGCGCTTCCCGCAGCAGAAGCCGTGAGAGTGTGGGTTGCTGTGGGAGGGTAGATGGCAGGAGGACATGGGGCTGGGCAGCCGGGAGGGACTGATGGCCTGGGAGACAGCAGTGAAGAGGAGAGGGGAGAGCAGAGGCAGGCGCCATGGGTTCTGGGCATGGCCGTGAGCCACTGGAAGATGATACGGGAGCTTATCTTTGTTCCCTTGGGGAAGAAGCCCTTATTTTGAGACCTCGAAGGCATAAATCCTAAGGCAAAATATGGGTGATTTGGCCAGATCAAAATTCAGTTTTTCTGTGCATTGGAGGACACAGAGGACCATTAACAGGTAGTGACTGAGAGGAGCACTTTCCTCGTTCCTTCTTTTTAATGGATAAAGCCGGCAAGGAGCCAGTGTTAGGGGGATTCCTGCAACTCAGCAGGTAACCAACTAGAAGTCTCTAGAACCATGACAGCGGATATTAATAGTTCATTGAAAGGAGACCAGATGACCAAGCAGCACGTGAAGACTGCACGGCCTCGCCACGCCCAGGGAGTGTGAGCTGGAGCCCGGGGGCGTGCCGCCCCGTCTGCCGGCCGCAATGAGGAAGCTGGGATTGGGGATCTGCAGAAACGGGAACTTGCGTGGTGCTGGCGGGAATATCACGGGGCCAGCCATTCTGGAATGAACCTGACAGGACAGTCATGTGTCACTTAACAATGGGCTGTGCTCTGAGAAATGCCTCTGTAGGGGACTCCATCCCGTAGGAACATCACAGCGCACTCACACAGCTCACTGTACACCCAGCCTGTGCGGCTTAGCCCATTGCTCCCAGCCATGGGCCTGTGCGGCACGTGACCCTGCTGACTACCCTGGGCAATCGTAACATAATGTAAGGATTTGTGTGTCTAAACAGCTAAATTGGCCGGGTACTGTGGCTCACGCGTGTAATCCCAGCACTCTGGGATGCTGGGGCAGGCAGATCACTTACGCTGAGGAGCTCAAGAGCGGCCTGGGCAATAGAGTAAGACTTCATCTCTACAAAAAAATGTAAAAATTAGCCAAGCATGGTGGCTCATGCCTGTAGCCCCAGCTACTCAGAGGCTGAGGTGGGAAGATGTCTTGGACTCAGGAGGGAAAGGTTTCAGTGAGCTGTGATTACACCACTGCATGCCAGCCTGGGCGACAGAGCCAGACCCCCTCTGAAAAAAAAATGCTAAACAAAGGTACAGTAAAAATACAGTCTAAAGTGTTAAAAATAGCACCGGGCACTTACCAGGAGCTGCTCGGATGCCTCAGGGAGTGAGGGCGAGTGAGCATGGAAGCCTAGGATGTTACCGTATGTACTTACGTGCACTGGCAGCACCACAAACACGGGAGATACACTGTGCTACATGTTATGAGGACAGGGACTTCTCAGCTCCTGTTGTAACCTCACGGGACCTCCTTGGTCTGCTCAGTCCGTTGTTGGCTGAAACATCGTGGGTAGCACAGACCTGTGCAGAGACGCTCACTGCAGCCTCGCCTGTGGCGGCAGGGGTTACAGAAGAAGCGTGGACACCTGCATGGAGGGGAACACACTCACTGCAGCCTCGCCTGTGGCGGCAGGGGTTACAGAAGCGGCGTGGACACCCCTGTGGAGGGCAACGGGGTGAGCTGCTGGTCGTGTCGTGGGGGTGTGGCTATGTGACAGTTGGCACAGGACATGCTTGGGTCTACTTCTGTCAATAGCTTTATTTCGTGGCAGTGGATTGCCTGTTGTTTCTCTCATAGTTTATTGAATGCCGGGGTTTTTTTGTAGAACAGTGGAGACCAAGATAAATAGTCCTCATGCCCAGAAACAGGCACTCCCCTTCAGACAGGCCCTGGGTGGGTGTGGTCACCAGGTGAGCGGGCTGTGGGCTTGGGGCTGCCTTCATCCCTGCAGGCACCACAGGCTTCCGATTCTTCCAGCAGTGGCCATAGCCAGCCTGTGCATGGTGTGGGTGCCAGAGTGGCCCCGCCCCTTCTTAGATGCCAGCAGGCCTTGGATGCTGTGCTGTGCCTGGTGTCTGCTCCTGCCCTCCCTGGCAGAGGGCTACTGCTGCTTGCTTCCGGCTCCTTGGCGTGCTCCTGGCCCAGCCTCCGTCGCAGGTGGGTCCTATACCCTTGGGGTGCAGGGCTCGTGCCCACTCCTGCTCCTGCTGCCAAACTCTGCCTTATACCTGGACAGTGGCTTGGGCGGGAGAGTGTGTGAGCCAGGGCAGGCCTTGAGTTGAAAATGTTTCCTGCCTCTCCCCGGTGGCTCTGTACCTGGTAGAAGGAGGGAAGAGGCTGCAGGTTCCCCATCCCCTGTTTTCTCCTTTCCTGCCCTCTGGCAGCTGCCAAACTCAGGGTGGGCGGGGAGGCCTTTGCCCTGCGCTCCAGAGTGCACACAGAGCTCTGTGCATGGTGTGAGAGTTCAACAGAAACGGGAATGAGGAAGGGGGAACAGTCGGGTTTGGAAATGGTTTTTACTCAGAGTTGAAGGCACTGCCTTTTACCTTGAGCAACGTAAAGCTGTTCTGATTCCTGATTCTCTGTATGGAAGGATTCTCTCGGGCAGTGTCCAGGGTCTTATGGCAGGAATGACATCTCCAGTCCCCTGTCCCCCTCTGGAATTTTGCCTATCCAGGGGATCCCCCTCTCTTGACCCTGGGGAGGTTTATGTGGCCTGCTGGGGCGGTAATTGCCATGTGACTGACGGGTTGAGGGGGCTCAGGCTTGGCCCGGGTGCCATGTTGGAAGGAAGCCCAGGCCGCGGGGATAGGCCATGCAGGTGTGCTGTCTGCCAGCCGCGTTGACCACCAGCTACACACAAGTGAGCCTACAGGTGCCTCGAGCCACCCCAACTGATGAGCAGAGCAGAGCAGAGCCCAGCCGCCCCTGTGAGCCCCGCTCCAGATACAGATGTGTGAGCAAAATAAATGTTGCCACTGTCTGAAGCCATTTTTCTGGGGGTTGTCGTTAAACAGGCTTAGTGCCTGAGGCGGGACTCTGTGGCCGGTTCTCTGTCATGTCACATTGGACCTTGGCATGGGCCATGCCCGTCGTGTGCTGGGCATGTGCTGGACCATGTCAGCCCTGCACCAGCCTTCCTGGGGCCTGCCATGGACCCACGCTGCCCGCCGGCGATGCCGTCTCTGGATCCAGTCACTGAGCGGGGGGTGTTAGACCCATAAAGAAGCAAAGTTTAGGGGGAGCTTGGAAGGGAGTGGGCTGCCCCGGGCCTCTTCACGCGACGCCAACGCCACCTTGGTGTGAGCCAACAGAGAGGGCTGTGCCCCAGGTGTGGGGTTGCGGGCAGGAGCTGCCCACTCAGGCTCTCTGAGGCGTCTTTGAGTCGTTCTCTCTCAGTTCAGACTTCCCTCTGACAGCTTCCCAAAGCTTTGATGGAGCTGTCCTGAGTCACCTGCACAACCTTGCTAGCTGCAGCCTAAGGAGACACTGAGCGAGCACACGGTTCACATTTCTAAAATGATGCTTTAATCAAATATGTTAAGCTAACTCTTTTTTTTTTTTTTTTTTAAACAGAGTCTTGCTCTGTCCCCAGGCTGAAGTACAGTGGCACAATCTCGGCTCACTGCAACCTCCGCCTCCTGGGTTCAAGCAGTTCTCCTGCCTCAGCCTCCCAAGTATCTGGGATTACAGGCGTGTGCCACCACACCCAGCTAAGTTTTATATTTTTAGTAGAGACGGGGGGTTTCACCATATTGGCCAGGCTGGTCTTGAACCCCTGACCTCAGGTGATCCGCCTGCCTAGGCCTCCCAAAGTGCTGGGATTACAGGTGTGAGCCACCGAAGAGAACACTTTTTAAATGTTATTTCGGTGCCAGTACTTGCTTCAATTAAGCGCTCATTAGTTAAAAAGAATGCTAGCCTCCATCTGAGCCCCACCAAGCCCTCACTGTCCTTCCTGGCGGGAGAAGCCAGCGGATATGCCCTTGAGCTGAGGGCTGTCGAGGATGTGGTGGTCCAGGGCATCCCTGGACTCACTGTCTGACAGGCAGGGACAGCCCCTGCAGAGGAAGAGGCTGAACACTGGACAGGGGTGCCTGCCACTCCACAGGGCCTGTCCAGTGCCTATCCTGGTGGGTGAGTAGCAGGCTCGCTGCCTACTCCGGGCCCACCACCACCACCAGGGCTGTGCTGCAGGTTGCAAAAGGCCCAGCGGCGCCCGAGCCACTCCTTATCTGGTGAGGAAGATGCCCAGACACAGGGCAGCTCTCAGCACGGGAAAGGAAAAGCCTGACCTTTGGGCCACATCACAGACAACTGGTTGATTTAATAAGACTGAATCGTGGCCGGGCATAGTGGCTTAAGCCTGTAATCCCAACACTTTGGGAGGCCAAGGCAGGTGGATCACTTGACCTCAGGAGTTTAAGACCAGCCTGGCCAACATGGCAAAACTCCATCTATACCAAAAATACAAAAATTAGCTGGCATGGTGGTGCATGCCTGTAGTCCCAGATACTTGGGAGGCTGAGATGGTAGGATCACTCGAGCCCAGGAGGTGGAGGTTGCAGTGACCCAAGGTCGTGCCACTGCACTCCAGCCTGGGCAACAGCACCAGACCTTATCTCGCAAAAACCCACAAAAATCCTGAATTGTAAAGCCACTAATAGACTAGCTCTGCACTGAAGTACTCAAAGAAAGGATTAGAAACCCAGTGTTCCTCAGATGCAGTCTTTAGGACTTAAATAACTTAAATGGTGGCCTGTAATGAGCTGCACCTGTGTCCCTGTGAGGGTGCCTGCCAAGCCTTTGAAGCCATGTGTTGTCTTAGGCGGGTTGCATGTCTTCTTGCACTGCTGTTTTTGCTAGACATTTGCTCACAATCCTTTTTTACATTTTTAAACAAATAGCACAAATATGAACTTGGGCTCGGACCAAGACAGTAGTTCTGAGCTTAGTGAAATTCACAGCACTAGGGTGAAGTCACTGGGCACGGCAGTCTCTTGCTGACAGCCTGTCCTTTTATTTGACATCATCCTTCGCCTGGCTCCTGCTGTCACTCTCTTGCGTGTAGGTTTTTGTAAGCATTGGCACTTTCAATGATCCCTTCTGGAAACCAGCCCCCCGCCTGAGCTTTCAGGAATGTATCTGTTTCCACCACCTTTCAGCGATTCTTCCTGCTCCCTCTGCCAAGGTCTGTTTCTCCAGGATCGGAGGGGGTCGTGTGAATCAGCCCAGATGCTTTCAGCAGCGAACAAGAGGCCCCAGCACCCGGCTTCCGCCCCGGGGCGTTGGTTCTCTGGCGTCTCTGTGGCCATGGGATGCCACCATAGCAGCCAGGGCCACACCAGGGGATGCTGTTGCTCCCAGCCCTCTCTGCAGAGCCCCGGGACCCACCCTGTGTGGACTGCTGAGGTCACATGCCCACCCAGACTAGTGACTGGCCAGGGAATGGCATGTACACATTGGCTTCTGTCAACTGAGGTCAATCCCTAGTCCCTGCTCCTGCCCTCCCATCATCGTGGCTGTGGGAAGAGGCAAGGAGACCTGAACTGTCGGGAATGAAGAAGGGGATGGATGCTGAGTAGATCGACATCCGTGACCCTGGGTTTCCTCCTTCCCCCACCTCGAGAGCTTTGGCAAGATTAGACAAGTATGTAAGGAGAAGGAGCGGGCCTGGCTCCCCTGAAGCTGAGCAGTCAGGGCCTGAATGATTTGAATGGGATCCAAGTAAACCCCATGGCCCCACATGGCAGAGTCTCTGCATGGAATCCAGCCTGGACTCACGACCCTGCTGCCTCACAGGCCTGGCACAGCAGTGCCTGCTAGTTCCTTGCCTCTGGTGGGTAGGGGACTGATTGGTCCTGCTGATGGCAGCAGCGGGCTGTCTTTGGAGCAAAGTTGGAGCTACGTTCAGGTGCTGTCATAGCCTGACTGGGTGTGCACACGCTTGGGGCAATGCTGACACGCCAGCCCCTTGCCACCTCGGCCCCCTCTGGACTTTGGGCACTGATAAGCATTAGGAGGAAAGCCAAGTGGGGGCTGACGGCAGCTTGCTGCTGGCCTGCAGGCACCCTTGACACCTACAGCCCGGGCACCATGAATGGCAGCAGGAGGCAGACAGGTTCCTGGGTGGAAGGGGGCAGGTTCTTGGTGAGGCCCCACCTTCAGGCCAAGAAGGGCTTGAAGGCTGGGGGCCAGGCTGCCAGTCCTGTGGACTGGAGTGGGAACTTATGGTGCCTTTTTCGGGCCTGCCCATGGCCACCCTTGGACCAGTTGGCACAGCATGCACTTCCTCCCCTTTGAGGCCCATAAAAGCCCCAGGCTCAGCCAGAGCTGGGCAAATGTTGGGATGACCACCTGCAGACAGGAGCAACCCACTCTAGGGCCCCCTCTTTGCTGAAAGCTGCAGAGATGATGGAAAGATGACAGGGAGATGATGGGACAACCAGCTGCAGAGAGGAGCTACCCTCTCTACTGATAGCTGAACACTTGTTGGGACGACTTGCCTAACCCTTTCTGCTAGGAGCTGAACAGACGTTGGGACACCCTGGCTGCAGAAAGGAGCTGCCCCCCTGTGGGTTTCCTCAGAGCTGTTCTGTCACTCAATAAAGCTCCTCTTCATCTGGCTCACTCTCCACTTGTCTGCTTACCTCATTCTTCTTGGACAAGAACTCAGGACCTGCCAAATGGCGAGGCTAAAAGAGCTGTAGCATAAACAGGGCTGAGATGTACCCTTTGCTTGCCACATTACAGGTGAAGTGAAGGAGAGAAGAGCTGCAGCCCTTTGGGGAACCCAGACCTGGGAGCTCCCCAAGCCAGGGCTGTGATTCCTTCTTTGGGGCCCTGTGGTTCCTGGTGTCTCTAAACTTTTGGGTGCCACCGTGTTCCCCAGTGCCAGCTGTGGAAGCTGCTTGCAGTGTGCTTGGTCTGGCCGAAGCCTCACAGGGAGCCGGCACCTATAGCTGCTTGCCCTGCTGAAGCAGCTGGCATGTCTGACTGTGTGCAGTGGCCAGACCCCACGCACGCTCAAACACGCCCTGCCATTCCACGCCTGACTCGCCCTTGGTAGGCATGGGACCCAGGCCTGTAGTGTGAGCCCAGTGCAGCCTGCCAGGCCAAGTGGGTGAGATGAGCCCAGCAGGCCTGAGCAAAGATGCCCCAGCCACAGAGGTTTTGGCCAGAAAAACGACAGCCCGAAGATCTCGTAACACAACGGCATTTTCTCTCCCAGTTTGCAGTGCTTCCCCATCTCTTGGTGCTGTGGTGTCTGCTTGCAGCTCAGCGTCTGTTCGAGCCCATCTGTTCACACGCTCCTGTCATCCTCCTGTGTCTGTGAAGTCTTAAACCTTTAGTTAAGTCAATACGTGTTCGGTGAGATGCGATTCTCTATTTTATTCACTAAATCAAGACTAGCTGACATGTCTTTGTTGTTATTCCACGTTACATAAATTCTACGTTATTTCTAAACTTAAAAAATAATGTAGCTGGGCACGGTGGCTCACGCCTGTAATCACGCCTGTAATCCCACTTTGGGAGGCTGAGGCAGGCGGTCACAAGGTCTGGAGTTCGAGACCAGCCTGGCCAGCATGGTGAAACCCCCATCTTTTTTAAAAATACAAAAATTAGCCAGGCATGGTGGTGCATGCCTGTAGTCCCAGCGACTCGGGAGGCTGAGGCAGGAGAATCGCTTGAACCCGGGAGGTGGAGGTTGCAGTGAGCTGAGATCGTGCCTCCAGCCTGGGTGACAAAGCAAGACTCCATCTCAAAATAATAATAATAATGTTAAATAAATAAAAATAAAAAAATAATGTAGGGAACCTTTAAAAATCCTGAGGAGATAGCCCACAGACCACTCCTGGCCCATCTTGACCATTGATGCTGGCCTCATGAGGGCCAGGTGTGTGCTCCTGGGCGTGGGCCCAGGGAGCCTGCAATTTTGACCCTAATGGGGACCGATCTGCACAGCTGAGCCAGCCTCTCTGCAGTCCCCATCCCATCCATGGCAAGCCCCCCATACTTTCTTCTCATGGTCAAGGGTTTGGTGACGCAGCTATGAGCAACTCCTGCTGGCCTGTAAAGCTCCTCTGTCCTCCAATGTTGTGGCCTCTGCTGTGAGAACATCCGTCAGGAGACAGTGAAGACCTCCACAGCTGGGGGCTCAGTGGGTCCAGAGCATTAGCGCCCCGACCCAGGGGCTGACCCAGGCCCTACGTCACGGGCATGTGTCCCCGGCTAGGAAGTCCTGAGCCAGCCAGGGTGCTCCTGCAGGAGACAGAACCAGCTGAACCACAGCTTGGCCTCCGGGGAGGACTCACAGGCCACGAGGTGGCGGTGCTTGTGGCTGCTGTGAGTGCCTGCCCCGGAGAGGGGCTGTGTCTGTGCGCTCACCAGCGGCTCCAGAGCCTGCCGGGCAGCAAACAGACATTATGGTGCCCCGATGGGTGAGCAGCCCCATGCACAGGTGTGTACCTGCTGACTGTGCGGAATTGTGACTCTCAGGACACTTCCGTAACAATGACCATTTTGACTGCATTGAGAATGACTAGCCTTGGCCACTTCCCCTGCATTTTGCATGGAGCCCAGGGCCCAGCTCACTCCGATTGTGACGGAGCGTGAGACCCTTGCAGACAGCCAGGGGAGGTGGCAGCCTGAGACTGCTGCAGCAGGGACAGTTGGCATTTAGCGTCACTCTTGAAGATCGTTTTTGAGAATTTGGGTGTTTGGGGTTTTTAGTGTGGCCTCAAATAGATTGAGTTGTCAATGCTACAGCTCCGGAGCCTCAGCTGTTTGTGCCACCCCACACTGGGGTGGATGGGGCTGTGCCCTGCCCTCCCTGAGGCTCACTCACTGTGCCCCTCTCCTGGCTTCTCTCCTGCCTCCCTGATCAGCAAGTTCCTAGGGGCTCCCCGAATATCATCACTCCCTGGAGCCGCAGAGACCCCCACAGCTCCCTGCTTGGGGCTCCTCTGCATCCCGCACAAACTCCCCCTTCAGTTCCTGACGCATACCCCTGCCCTCTGCAGGTGCTATGTAGGGGCCCCGCCAGCCTCCGAGGCCCACAAGGGCTTCTGGTTCAGGAAGGCTCTGTGGTTACCTCAACTCCAAACCCTCTCCACCCCCACCCCCAGGCAGCATGCTGGCACCCTAGCCCCGGGCACCCTGAGAACACCAAGTGCCGTTTCCTGGAAGAGGAAATGTTTCTGCCAAGAAGTTTCCACGCCTCTGGCCTATGATTGACTGACTTGCTTTTGAAACCCGTTCAGGAGAGGTCATGCCTATCCCCTTCCTCTACCCGCTGGCCTGCCCTGGCTCACTTGGCTGCATAGTGGGAAACAGGAACTTTTCCACTGGCCCTAAGCAAAGCCTACTCTCCAGAGACTGGCAGAAAACCAAGTGCCTGAGGAGAGTTGGGTGCGGGGAAAGCCGGAGGCTCCCGTGGGGCCCTGTAGCGGGAGTGCCTTCCCAGTCGCTCTGGGAAGCCCTGCCCTCTCCTCCTCCCACCTGCCTCCCTGCCAGTGTCCTCCCCCAGCAGACCTGCAGGAACAACACCGTCATGGGGGCCCGAGAGTTGGGGACCTCCCAGGCCAGCACTACAGCCCAGCACAGATGCCACCAACCTGCGGAGAAAAGCCTTTGTTCGTGTCCACAGCGGCTCTGTCTCCATCCTTTAGGTAGCTTGATGCCAGGGCATAATTCAAGCCATTGCTGAGATGCCCAGAGACCAAGAACATGAAGCTGGCCAGGCTTGGTCATTAGGAAAGCCCTGGGCACCAAGACCTGCCCCCTCACAGCTGCTACAGCTGGCTGGCTGGCTGGCTGGATCCTTCAGGGTGGGGCTGCAGTCATCGTTTCATGAGCCACAGCCAAGAGGTGTCATAAGCAGCTGCAGAGGTTTGTGGAGGACATATGAACAGCCACCCATCTGGAGTCGGGTCTGCTGTGGACAGGTGTGCAGGTTGTGAACGGCACAACTCCATGCCTCCATGCCCTCAGAGTCTACGCCTGGATGGGCACGTGCAGCACCCCGTGTGGACTTCTCAGCTCCCCTCTGTTTTCAGTGTTCCTGGCTGGGCAGGACGAGCAGATCCTGTACAAAGAGCAGCCCTCACCCCCATCTGCAGTCTGATCTGCTCCCCTCCGTCCTCAGCAGGCCCCTGCACCCCCATCCTCACCCTCCACACCTCCCCAGCCCTCCCACCTGCACCTGGACTGCACCAGCCACACTCCTGACTCAGGCCTTTGCCCACCTGTGCCTTCAGCCAGGCATGCTTTTCCCCAGGGCCCGCTGGGCAGCCCTGAGCCTCTGCCCAGCCTCCGCTCAGATACCACGTCTTCAGTGAGGGCTGCCCCCACCTACGCACTGTGGTAAAATGTACCATCTTAACCATTTTTTTTTTTTTGAGACGGAGTCTCACTCTGTCGCCCAGGCTGGAGTGCAGTGGCGGGATCTCGGCTCACTGCAAGCTCTGCCTCCTGGGTTCACGCCATTCTCCTGCCTCAGCCTCTGGAGTAGCTGGGACTACAAGCGCCCGCCACCACGCCCAGCTAATTTTTTTCTATTTTTAGTAGAGATGGGGTTTCATCGTGTTAGCCAGCATGGTCTCGATCTCCTGACCTTGTGATCCGCCCACCTCGGCCTCCCAAAGTGCTGGGATTCCAGGCGTGAGCAGCCGCGCCCGGCCCCATGTTAACCATTTGTAAATGCATAGTTGAGTAGGGTTAAGTACGTTCATGTTGTGTAACCATCACCACCATCCATCTCCAGAACTTTCTCACTTTCCCGAACTGAAACTGTTCTCAGCCAACAATGATTCCTCATCCCCCTCCTCAGCCCCTGGCAACCACTGTTCTCGTTGCCTCTCTGAGTTCAGCTGTTCTAGATTCTTTACATAAGTGGGGTCACGCAGGATTCGTGGGGTCATGCAGGGTTTGTGCTGTTGTAGCACGTGGCGTGGTTTCATTCCTTTTTAAGCTGAATCATTGTCCGTTGCCCGGATAGTCCACATTTTGCTTCTCCATTCGTCTGCATGAGGTAGATCTTATCTCCATGTCTAGATCTTATCTCCATTTTGTAGACATGGAAATTGGGACATATTGCCCAAGAACCCCCAACTGATAAGTGGCAGAGTTTGGATTCAAACCCAGATCAAACTGGGTCCAGGGTTGTGGCTTTTTTCCAGGCTCGTCCAGCAAGTGCCAAGGCTGGGAGGTGCTCGTCAACAGGCACTCCATGTTGGCCAGGCTGGTCTCGAACTCCTGACTCAGGTGATCCACCTGCCTCGGCCTCCCAAAGTGCTAGGATTACAGGCGTGAGCCATCACATCCGGCCTAACAGGCACTCTGTGCACGGTGTGTGTGTGTTGGGGGTGGGGAGTGCTATGGGCTAGATTGTGTCCCCTCAAAACTGACATGTTGCAGACCTAACCCCCACTACCTCAGAATATAACCTTATTTGGAGACAGGGTCTTTAAAGAGGTGATTAAAGCTAAATGAGGCCATTAGACCCTAACCCAGTGACTGGTGTCCTTACACAAAGGGTAATGTGGATGCAGATGCGGAGGGAGAATGCCCTGCTAGGATGAAAGTGGAGAACAAGGGGGTGCTTCTCCAAGCTAAGGACCACCAAGCAGGGCCAGCAACCCGCAGAAGCCGGAGAGGCCTGGGACGGAGGTTCCCTCAGCCCCAGAAGGAGCTGTGGCATTAAAGAGTTCAAACTCGCTGGGTGCAGTGGCTCACGCCTGTAATCCCAGCACTTTGGGAGGCCAAGGCAGGAGGATCACTTGAGCCCAGGAGTTAGAGACCAGCCTAGGCAACATGTAAAACCCTGTCTCTACAAAAATTAGCTGGTGTGGTGGTGTACACCTGTGGTCCCAGTGATTCAAGAAACTGAGGCAGGAGGATCACTTGAGCCCAGATCAAGGCCCCAGTGAGCCATGTCCACACCACTGCAAAGTGCGAGACCCTGTCTCGTAAAAAAGAAACACTATAAGCTATGCACTACCTTGTACGGAAAACGTTGCAACCCTGTCAGACTTCTCTTGTCTCTGCCTCTATGTAAGCGAGACCTTCCCTTCCCACTCTGGAGCGCTGGCCCATTCTTTTCGAGTCTGTTTCCCGAGTGATGGTTCCCAAGCTTTAAGCTTGAATAAACCCTGGACTTCACTGTATTTTATGAATCTCATTATTCAGGGTTGATGGAACCATCCCTGCCAACACCTTGACCCTGGACTTCTGGCCTCCAAGTCTGTGAGACAGTAAGTTGTCGAAGCACCCACTGTGGGGCCCTTTGCTACAGCAGCCCTGGCGGACTCACGCTGGGCCACACGGGGAAAACCGAAGGGGAAGCTCGAGGGCATTTAGGGCCCACCTGGATGATCCAGGAGTGTCTCTGCATCTCAGGAGCCTCAGCTTCACACCTGCTGGACTCTTTTTCCAAAGAGGGCCCATTCACAGGTTTCAGAGATTAGGGCCTGGTAGCTTTGAAGGACCACTGTTCAGCTCACCAGAGCTCTACTGTTTTTAGAGGGGAGGGGCGGACAGGGTCTCCGTCTGCCAGTCAGGCTGGAGTGGCGCTCACCTATAAACTTACTTGCATCCATATGTCCAGAAACTTGCTTGTGCTCCTTTCCTGTCTCCCTCCTTTTCTTCCTTCCTTCCTTTTTTTTTTTTTTTTTTTTTTTTTTGAGACAGGGTCTGGCTCTGTCACCTAGGCTGGAGCACGGTGATGCAATCTCGGCTCACTGTAGTGTCGACCTCCTAAACTTACGCAATTTTCCCACCTCAGCCTCGCAAGTAGCTAGGACTACAGGGCACACTGCCACGCCTGGCTAATTTTCGTATTTTTAGTAGATACGGTGTTTCCTCATGTTGTCCACGCTGGTCTTGAACTCCTGAGCTCAAACAATCCACCCATCTTGGCCTCCCAAAATGCTGGGATTATAGGTGTGAGCCACTGCGCCCAGCTGCTTTTTTCTTTTTGTAAGTATAGATGTTATCTATCAACATCCTTCTGTGGAAAAATGAAGATTCTTCCTCTCCCATGCTCCTCCCCACTAGTAGGAAATATAATTCCATTCTCGGATTCCTTCAGGACAGTTTTATAATTGAGAATAGATTAATATCCAGTGTTTACACGATTATGATGAAGCAACTATTATTCCTAGCCTAGTCATGTTATGTAATTACATTTCTTACAGAGCTCCAATATTTTCTCCCCTTTTTTTGAGACAAGGTCTTGCTCTGTCACCCAGGCTGGAGTGCAGTGGTATAATCACAGCTCACCGCAGCCTCAATCTCCCTGGCTCCATCAATCCTCCTGCCTCAGCCTCCCAAGTAGCTGGGACCACAGGCACCCACCACCATGCCCAGCTATTTTTAATAGAGATGAGGTCCTGAACTCCTGGACTCAAGTGTGTGTGTTGAGTCGAGTCCTCCCAAAGTGTGTCTGCTTTGGCCTCCCAAAGTGCTGGGATTACAGGCATGAGCCACCGTGCCCGGCCTCTTTGTTTTCTAGGTTCTGATGCAACTCCCAACTCTCCACCAGGCATGCAGATCTCTTGATAGGCTCACAGCACTCTGGCGACCTCTTGATTTCCTTATCTCCCCTGAAGCATCACTCCTGTCTTTTTTTTTTTTTTTTTTGAGACAGGGTATCACTGAGTCATCCAGGCTAGAATGCAGTAGTGCAATCATGGCTCACTGCAGCCTCCAACTCCTGGGCCCAAGTGATCCTAATGCCTCAGCCTCCTGAGGAGTTGTTTTCCTTTCTTTTTTCTTGTAGAGACAGGGTCTCACTGTGTTGCCCAGGCTGGTCTCGAACTCCTGGCCTCAAGCAATCTTCTCGCCTAGGTCTCCTCTGTCCTACTGCTGCTGGACTCACAGTGGCCCTGGGACCTCCTGTGACACCATTTCCTCTCCTGTTTTCATTCCCTCCTTTTGGTGGCGTGTGTTCCTGGGCAGAAAGCCTGCCCTGCATGATGGAAGTGGGTCTCCTGCCTCCGGTGCTAAGGGAGAGGGTGCTGGCCTCAGGGCTTCCAGCCTGCATTCCTTCCTCTTCTGAATTCCGTCAGGGTTCATCTCCTGGTTTCCATGTGTGCTGGAGGCTGAAGTTGATGCCTTTCTCATCCCAAGCCTCCCTGTGTGAGCTGGGCTTTTCATCCTTTTTTGGGAGTGTTTTAGACTTCTCATGTCTTGAGTGACCTCACATTTCACAGTGATGTTCACTGTGTAGATCTTTCGCGGTCCATTTTGCTGGGCACTGGGTGGGCCTCTCGGTCTGCAAAGTCATGTCTTTGAGTTCTGGGGCAGTTTTGTGAATTACTTCATTACTGAGATCCTTCCTTGTTTTCTTTTTGGAACTCTTACTTGCCACGTGCTGGGATCCAATAAGCTCAAAGAATTTCACACACAAAAACATAAGGACAAATACATCAGGATACATCATAATTTCCAAAACAACATTGTAAAAGAACAAAGCTGTAGGATCCATACTTTCAATTTCAAAACTTACTACAGAACTATAGTAATCAAAACAGTGTGGTACCACCATAAGGCCAGACACACAGATCAATGGAATAGCACTGAGTCTAGAAATGAGCCCATACATCTGTGAGCAACGGTGCCAGGCCATTCCATGGGGGGAGCATCGTCTCTTCAACAAGAGACGCTGAGACAGACAGACATCCACAAACTCCCATGTTAAACCATCTACAAAAATTGACTCAAAATCGAACAATGAGCTAAATCTGTACAGATCTTAGAAGAAGACATAGGGGTACATTTCCATGAACCTTGGATTTGCCAATGGATATGACACCCAAAGCATGAGCAACAGGAAAAAACAAACAAACAAATTTTGACTCCACCAAAACTAAAAACTGCCGTGCATCAAAGAACATTAAGAAAGTAAAGAGACCGGGACCAATGGCTCACGCCTGTCACCCCAGCACTTTGGGAGGCCGAGGTGGGCAGATCACTTGAGGTCAGGAATTCAAGACCAGCCTGGCCAACATGGTGAAACCCTGTCTCCACTAAAAATATTAAAAATTAGACGAGGCGCAGTGGCTCACACCTGTCATCCCAGCACTTTGGGAGGCCGAGGTGGGCAGATCACTTGAGGTCAGGAATTCGAGACCAGCCTGGCCAACATGGTGAAACCCTGTCTCCACTAAAAATATTAAAAATTAGACGAGGCGCAGTGGCTCACACCTGTCATCCCAGCACTTTGGGAGGCCGAGGTGGGCAGATCACTTGAGGTCAGGAATTCAAGACCAGCCTGGCCAACATGGTGAAACCCTGTCTCCACTAAAAATATTAAAAAGTAGACGAGGCGCAGTGGCTCACACCTGTAATCCCAGCACTTTGGGAGGCCGAGGCAGGCAGATCACAAGGTCAGGAGTTTGAGACCAGCCTGACCAACATTGTGAAACCCCGTCTCTGGTAAAAATACAAAAATTAGCCAGGCATGGTGGTACGTGCCTGTAATCCCAGCTCCTGGGGAGGCTGAGGCAGGAGAACTGCTTGAACCTGAGAGGCGGAGGTTGCAGTGAGCTGAGATCACGCTACTGCATTCCAGCCTGGGCGACAGAGAAAGACTCTGTCTCAAAACAATAAAAAATACGAAACACAAAAATTAGCTGGGCGTGGTGTTGGGAACTTGTAATCCCAGCTACTTGGGAAGCTGAGGCAGGAGAATAGCTTGAACCCAGGAGGTGAAGGTTGCAGTGAGCCAAGATCACACCATTGCACTCCAGCCTGGGCAACAGAGCAAGACTCCATCTCAAAAAAAAAAAAAGTAAAAAGATAACCTACAGAATGGGAGAAAATATTTGCAAGTCTTATGATAAGGGCTTAGTATCCTGAACATATAAAGAGCTCCTACAACTCAACAAAAAGACAACCCAATTTAAAAACAGGAGATGGATTCTCCCAAAAAATAACCAACAGGCATATGAAAAGATGGTCACTCAACATCACCAATGATTACAGAAAGGCAAATCAAAACCATAATGAGACACCTCTTCATACACACTAGCATGGCTATAATAATTTAAAACAAGAAAATAGCAAGTGTTGATAAGGACCTGGAGAAACTGGAACCCTCGGGCACTGTTGGTGAGAATGGAAATCGGTGTGACCAGTATGGAACACAGCTTGATGGTTCCTCAAAAAATAAACATGGACGCCGGGCGCAGTGGCTCACGCCTGTCATCCCAGCACTTTGGGAGGCTGAGGCAGGTGGATCACCTGAGGTCAGGAGTTCAAGACCAGCCTGGCCAACATGGTAAAACCCTGTCTCTACAAAAATACAAAAATTAGCCAGGCACAGTGGTGCACACTTGTAATCCTGGCTACTCGGGAGGCTGAGGCAGGAGAATCGCTTGAACCCAGGAGGTGGAGGTTGCAGTGAGCCGAGATTGTGCCATTGTACTCCAGCCTGGCAACAGAGCAAGACTCCATCTCAAAAAAAAAAAAAAAAAAAAATTAAACATGGAGTTACCACATTAACCAGCAATGCCACTCCTGGGTACACACCCAAGAAAAGTGAAAAGAGGTGTCCAGACATACTCGGCCATGAAGGTGCACAGCAGGTTACTCACAAGGGCTGAAAAGCAGAAACAACCAGGTGTCCATCACCGATAAATGAGGAACCAAAATGTGGTCTATCCACACAATGGCTTATTATTCGGCCACAAAAAGAAACCAAGTACACGTGCTCTGACATGCCTGAAAATACCATGCAAAGTGAAATAAGTTAGACACGAGGCCACAATTGTGTGATTCCATTTATATGAAATGTCCAGAACAGGGAAAACCTATTTTAGACAACAGAGACACAAAGTCGATCAGCAGTTGCCAGGGGAGGAGGAAGACGGGAGGGGAAATGATTGCTTCACGGGGTGATGACAGAATGTTCCAGAACGTGACAGAGGTGGTGCCTACACAACTTTCTGGATGTACTAAATGCCGCTGATTGTTCACTTTCAAGTGATTGATTTTTAGGTTATTTGAATTTCATCTCAATTAAAAAACCCAAACACGCAAACTGCTCCCGCCAGCTCAGCCCCGAGCAGACGGCGCAGCCCGTGGAGGATGCTGAGCCACCCAGGCTTCTCCCCGCCCCTTCCTGGACTCTTCTCTCTTTTGCCTTTAATCCACTCTGCGCAGTCATTGCCTGTGTTCATCCTACCTGGCCGACTTCTCTCTCAATATTTCCTTGGTGAAACATCCTAAGAGGAAGTTACATTAGAGAAAATCACATATTTCATCTCATAGGCCGTAAACAGGGCCATTTAGGAAGCCATGTGTTAACGAGGGGAGACGGATGCTCTGTGCCGTGTGCAGGGATAACGGTGCCAGGCCAGGCAGTTACCAATCACGCGTGTGTTTAGGGCTCAGGAAAGCGAAGGAGAAGTGGGCAAGGGTGGCGGGCCCGCTCCGCACCGCCCAGCGCTCCGGACTTCACTTCTGGTCCCGCTCCTGGGCGGCCACGAAGTTCAGCAAGTCAATGGCGGTGACCACCCCGAACACCATCTGCCGCTGACTGGACTTCCCGGTGCTGTGGTCTGAGGGGAGAACGAGGCAGTGGGTTTGCAGGTGCCGTGGGAGGCTGGGTGGGCTGCTGCGGGGCAGGAGGCTCCTGAGGGCCTGGGGCACCTGTGCACCATGGGGGCCCAGGGTGGCTGGAGCCCAGCGGCGAAGGCTGTGTTCCTTTTTTTTTTTCTGAGACAGGGCCTCACTCTGTCCCCTAGGCTGGAGTGCAGTGGTGCAGTCTTGGCTCACTGCAACCTCCACCTCCTGGGTTCAAGTGATTCTCGTGCCTCAGACTCCCGAGTATCTGGGACTTCAGGTGCACATCACCACACCCAGCTAATTTTTGTATTTTTAGTAGAGATGGGGTTTTGCCATGTTGGCCAGGCTGGCCTTGAACTCCTGACCTCAAGTGATCCACTTGCCTCGGCTCCCAAAGTGCTGGGATTACAGGCGTGAGCCACTGTGCCTGGCCAAGCCAGTGTTCTTCTGACATGAGCCCCATGAGCCCCCAGGCCAGGTTCTACCCACCACGTGAGTCCCCTGGGCCCCAGGCCAGGCTCCACCCACCGCAGGTCAGGACACACCCTTCCCTGGCCCACCGGCTGAGCTCCTGAGGCACTCATGACTTCAGAGCCGGTGTGGGCATGAAATTCAAACCCGCTTACAGGGCCGGGCACAGTGGCTCACACCTGTGATCCCAGCGCTGTGGGAGGCCAAGGTGGGAGGATCATTTAAGCCCGGAAGTCTGGGACCAGCCTGGGCAACATATTGAGACCCTGTCTCTACAGAATATTTTTAAAAATAAATTAGTCGAGCATGGTGGCACACGCTTGTGGTCCCAGCTACTTGGGAGACTGAGGCAGAAGGATCAGTTGAGCACAGCAGGTCGAGGCTGCAGCGAGCTATGATGGCACTACTGCACTCCAGTCGGCAACAGAGCAAGACCCTGTCTCTAAAAACAGACAAAAACCCCTTGCCACCATGGGCAGCACACAGCTTCCATCTCTGGCCTGATTCTGTCTTCACCCCTCCTGCTTTCTCCTGGCAAGCGTAGACCCGGTGTTAATGCTGGCCGAGGCTCCCATGCCACATACCCAGACAGGGCTGTTGTGATGGTTAATTTTAATACAGATTAACGGGGCCGTGGGAGCCCAGGCATTGGTCACACGTCGTTCTGGGCATGTGTGAGGGGATTCCGGATTAGCACAAGAGTCAAGAGGCAGATAACGTGTGCTACTGTGGAGGGCCTCACCCAAGCAGTTGAAGGCCTGAATAGAACCAAAGGTGGAATTTCCTGCCTTGGGGCTTGAACTGCTGGCTCTCCAGTCTCCGGCCTGCCGCCTCACCCTGCAGATCTCAGGGTTTGTCAGCCTCCGTGATCTCATGATCCAGTTCCTTAACACAGATCTCGTTCCCTCTCTCTCCCCGCTCCCCACACATCCTCTTGGTCCTGCGTCTCCACAGGACCCTACACCAGCTGTCATGAGGCACAGAGGGGTGAGCAAGGTGCGGGTGAGGAAGAGCCCTCGGAGCCCGTCCCAACTCCGCCACGGCTGTCACTCCTCTCTTTGTAGGCAGAGGTCCCTTGGGGTGGCCCACTTAGAGCCCCAGGAAAAGATAGGGAACACAGATGAGATCAGCTCCTTGCATTTTGGGGAAACGGAGGCACAGCAACTGTTGGAGAAGGGAGCCCTGGGAGCCCTGAGTGCCGCAGGCTTCTGTGGCCCTGGCAGCTCGGCCCAGAGTCAATGGACTAGGGCCAGCCAGGGGACTTTCCGACAAGGGCCAGCTGGTGGTATTTTAGGTCTTGGGGGCTGTGCCGTCTCTGTTATGAGCACGCAGCCCTGACGTGCTTGAAAGCAGCCACAGACGGTGGTGACAAGCGTGGACATGCTCCAGGAAGACTTGATTTGGGGACCCTGACATTGGAATTTGCATCTTTTTTTTTTTCTGAGATGTTCAAACACAAGTAAATGTGAGATTAAGAGGGGGATCCCTCCTACCCAAGCTTGGGGGTGGGTCCAGGACCCTGGAAGGCCTCCATTTGCCATGGGGAGGCTGTGAATCTGAGCCTGAGAGCCATTCTGAGGGGTGGGTGATACCTACCTGCAGGCCCCCCCACCACGCCTGCCCAGGCCTGGTCCTGCGCTGCAGAGCCAAGGACGGGAGATGGGGTTAGACTTGGGGCCCTCACGGACCAGCCTCAGCCACCGAGCGCTCACCCCCTGCACACAGGCCTGGTGGGTGGGCAGGCTCCAGGCTCCAGGGCCCCTCCCAACTCTTCCTGTGGGCCCCAGGCCCAGGGCTGCCATCTATGACCCAAAACCTGCGAGCGACTCTCCTGGCCTGTGGGGATGTGGTGGGGACGCCCGGGGATGCGCTCAGGAGTTGCAAAACCTCATGAGCTTGCTGGGAGCGGGGCTCTGAGGACAGCCCATCAGTGGCTCCTGTGAGACCCACATGAGGCTTCCATTCAGAGCAGCCCTCCGAATGCCAGGGTCAGGACTTGAAACCCTTCTAGATGTTTCTGGGCTTGTCCCTGAGAATCCCCAAGACTGCTGGCCTCCCCGGAGGCAAGGGGCCTGGACTCCTGAGCCTCTGCATGCTGGACAAAGGGCCCTACCCAGTGTGGCCTGATGAGGGGTCCCTGCAGGAATCACAGGTACAGCCCACCAGCCCAGGGCATGTGGGAGGCCCGGGCATAAAGACTGGGTGTCACTGAAGGTCGGCACCACCCACTCCCCTAACACCCCGCAGGGGATGGGGGGCCCAGCTGCTGCCCATGGCAGAGGCCAGGCTTGGTGGCCTGACCCCAGTGAGAACCCCACGCACAGAGCAGGGCCCCACTCACACTGGATCTGCTCGTGCACCACCAGGGCGAAGTGGTCCATCTCCAGGATGTGCGAGAGCCTGCCCAGCGTGTCCGTGAGGCGGATCTGCAAGGGAAGCGTGGTCAGTGGCAGGGGGAACATGGCCCCACGAGTTTTCTGTGGAGTGAGAGGGGATGCGATGGTGGGTCCTGCAAAGCCCACCCGGGAGGCAGTGGCAGCCGAACGTGGGAAATACGTGGATTCGGGTGACGTCTCGGGTGTGTGTGTGAGATGGGAAAGAAGTCGAATTCACTCCTAGGTTTGGGCAGAACCCTCAGCCTTTCCAGTGTCAAGAGCCACACCTGCATGTCCCAGGGGATCCGTGTGGAAGGTCACACAAACTTTCCTGGGCCACCCTCAGGGCAGCAGAGGGTGGGTGTCTCAGGACAACCACGGAGTCTGACCAGCCCGGCAAGGAGCCACCGTGGGCTTCTCCCAGAATGTTCTAGCTCTTGTTGGATAACCAAGTGCATGCACAGGCAAATGAGGCTGGGCAGGAGAAAGACCCCAGCAGACGCCGCATGGTGCCCGGGACAGCCTCTGAGCGCGAATGACCTCCTTAAGTCCCCAAAACACGGCTGGTGTGGATGAGCCTGCACTGATGAGAGCCTCCTCTCCGGCTGCTGCACTTGTAAAGTGGGTGCTTCTCAGCTTCATGGTTTGAGGGGTGCAGCCAGCTTCGGCCTAAGTGGTGTTGAGGGTCGAGGACCCAGCACCCCCACACGGGAAGCGCGGTGTCCCGCCTTCGAGGCTGGAGTACTCTGGCACCCTCTGGGGTCCCGAAGTGCCTGAGTACCTGTTTGAGCCGCGTGTAGGTGACTGCGCACCTGTTTGAACTGCGTGTAGGTGACCGCGCACCTGTTTGAGCTGCCTGTAGCTGACCGGGCACCTGTTTGAGCTGCCTGTAGGTGACCGCGCACCTGTTTGAGCTGCCTGTAGGTGACTGGGCACCCGTTTGAGCTGCCTGTAGGTGACCGCGCACCCGTTTGAGCTGCCTGTAGGTGACCGGGCACCCGTTTGAGCTGCCTGTAGGTGACCGGGCACCCGTTTGAGCTGCCTGTAGGTGACTGGGCACCCGTTTGAGCTGCCTGTAGGTGACCGCGCACCCGCTTGAGCTGCCTGTAGCTGACCGCGCACCTGTTTGAGCTGCCTGTAGGTGACCGGGTACCTGTTTGAGCTGCCTGTAGGTGACCGCTCACCTGTTTGAGCTGCCTGTAGGTGACCGCGCACCTGTTTGAGCTGCGTGTAGGTGACCGGGCACCTGTTTGAGCTGCCTGTAGGTGACTGCGCATCTGTTTGAGCTGCCTGTAGGTGACTGGGTACCTGTTTGAACTGCTTGTAGATGACTTTGCCAACTTGGTCTGACGGCTGCACCTTCCCGGCAAGCAGGGACGAGAGCATGTTCCCAAGCGTCACCATTCCCAGGATTACCCTGTGGGACGGGGGCAGGCAGGGGTCAGCGCTCATACCTCACCCCTCCCAGGACGGTGGGGCACACGCTCAGCTGCCCCAGGGAGGAGCGCTCTCTGGCCACACATGGAAGTCCTCTGCCACGAGCCTACACGCGGCAGGAACCAGTCTGGGCCCTGGTGGGGAGAAAGAAACCAAGAGTCCTTGGACCCGTTCAGCCAGGGTCAAGGGTGACCAGCCGTCAGGTTTCCGCGACGTGGGGCTCTCAGTGGTCACTGGGCATGTGTGCCAAGGCTTTCTGCTGTCAGACATGTCCTCGGGGCATCTCTCCCCTGACCTCCAGGTGGGCCCAGGACAGCCTGCACACAAAGGGTGGGTGGGCTGAGGTCTGAGGGCCTGGAGTGAGCACGGCAGCCCTGCCCCAGGCTGCTCAGGGACCGGCAAGGGGCCTCCAATGCCCTGAACGTCTGTATGAGGCGGCCCAGGCGGGCCTATCAGCCCAGCTGCAGGGTCTGCATGGCTGCCCTGTCCAGTGACACTGACGGGGTGGAGCTGGGCAGACAGAACCCAGGACTGAGCTCTGAGCAGGGGCTGAGACTGACCCCGCCTCATCCACCACGGGCGCCTGGTCGAAGCCCTTCTCCCGGAGGATCTCGATGGTGTGCCCACAGGTGATGGTCGGGAGCACGGTCAGCGGGGCTGACAGGCCCAGCTCCTGAACACGGAGGTGCCACCACCTGAGGGAAGAGGGCAGGTCGGGGGGATCAGGATAAGGACAAACGCTCTCGCACCCCCGCCGGCAGCACCTCAGCAGGAGGCCACAGGGACCGCTCTCCTGCCTGTCACACTGGGCAGGGCCAGCACAGGCCACGGGGACCGCTCTCCTGCCTGTCACACTGGGCAGGGCCAGCACAGGCCACGGGGGAGTGCTCTCCTGCCTGTCACACTGGGCAGGGCCAGCACAGGCAGCGGGTCTCCGGCCGAGCGGTCTTACCAGGGCTTCTTCTCCGTGAGGTCCTCCTCCTTCAGAAAGCCCTTCTGCAGCATCCACCTGTCGCTCAGGAACTTGGTCCTGCGGGATGGGGGAGTCACCGAGTCCCCGCAGGGCCCCACCGGGCCCCCGCCCCTGCTGAGTGGCACGCACTGCCTGCCCAGCCCCTCTCCTGGACCTCACTGGTGCAGCAGAGACCCCCAAGTGCTGGCTGGAAGCCCCAGGGGGAAGCCTGGGGGCTGGACTTCCCGCCCCCATGGCCAACAAGCGTGTGTGAGCATGCACACAGCCATCGCTCAGGCACTCAGATAAACACGTCCTCTCATGCTCGCTCTCTGCCCCTCACACACTCACACGCACAGGTACACATGGCAGGCTGGCCAAGTATGTGGGGAGATGGTGTTCTTGCACTGACGGGGGTGGGCAGGAGCCCTGCACAGGGCATCTTGACCCTGGGCACCAGATGTGAATCACCCCACACTGGGGAACCCAACTGGGGGCACCCACCAGCCAGGCCTGGCCCTCCAAGGGCAGCTGAGCTCTCGGGAGCTGTGTAGCCGCTGCAGCTTGCAGGCCATGGAGGAAACCCTGCAGGTGCAGGGGACAGGGCATGGGGGTCTGTAGACACCCGCCCTGGTACCGCCTCCGGAGACCAGGTGCAGAGCAGCGCCAGTCTCAGCCTGGCTGCCCGGTGACCAGCGAGGTCTGTGGCGTTACTGTCCGAGGGGCCTCTGGGCAAAACAGTCACAGCAAGTCCTAGGGGGCCACCTGGGCAGCACTCGTTCCCAATCTGGAGTTTGGGGGAAGCAGCAGAGGGAGTCAGGGTGGATAGGAGGTGGCACAGGGCCCGGCCCAAGAGGACGTCAGTCCATGTGGCCAGGGCTACCCGTTGGAGCTCACGGACCCCAGAGCAGTGAGGGGGACAGACACCAGAGAGGAAGGGACAGGAGGGACAGAGAGGGAGCCACCGTCTTTCATGCCCCTCCTGTCAGGGCTGTCACTGCGAGTGTGCATTGATTTTCACAGCATTAAGAGGCTGGGAAGCCCCACAGCGTGAGGGCACGTGGGCAGGAGAGTGGAGGCGGTGCTCACAGGGCCCCGCTGGCCTCCTCCCCTCCCAGTTCTGGCTGCCGGTTCTCAGGTGAGGCGTGAGAGGCATCCAGGGAAGGGTGGCAGGATGGAGAGGAGCAGGGACCTGGGAGGGAAGCCGTGTCTTACATGTAGTTCCGCACTGAGTCGGGCAGAATGACCACGCAGCGCTGGCCCTCCTGCAGCTCCTGCGCGGCCTTCACGGCCACCGCCACCGTGCTGCCAGCACTGCCACCTGCAGAGAGGGCCACGAGTCAGACGCGCCAGGGTGAGCGTGCGTGGGTGCACACGTATGCATGAATTGTGCACGTGCACGCATGGGAGCATGTCAGACACACTCCGAAGGATCCGTCAAGAGGGGTTGCCTCGGGGAGAGGGGCTGGGAGGACCCCACTTCTCCGTGAGCATCGGCTTCTTCCTTGTGCACCATGGAGTTTCTGTGTCCACTCGGGGCTTCATAATGAGCTGGGGTGGGCACTGGTGCCAGGGAAATGCCTGCAGTGGGGCTGCGGCCCCTGGCAAACCTCCTGGCCCTGAGCCTAGAGCCAGCGATGCTACGAGGACGGAGCCCCCAGCACCACGCCTGCAGGCTGCCTGACTGCACACTGGGCTCTGCTTTATAAACAAGAGACCAAGGCTCACAGTGACACCAGCTGTCCCTAGGAGCCCTGAAGTCAGAGTCAGAGGCGTCTTCTCTGGGCTTAGTTTGAGGGTGCACACAGCAGTCGGGAAGGTCTAAGTCTGCAGTAGGAGCCCCCACAGGAAGAGAGGCACCCTCCTCTGTAACGGGGCCCATGGACCTGCTTTCCAGCCCCAAAGGCAGGGGCTTGTTTCTCCACCAACATGGGGAGCAGGGAGACTGAGACAGGGAGAGCCCAACGATTATGGGCACCAAGTCACCTTTCGTGACAGATTCATCTGGAAAATGCTTTTCTTTTCTTTTTTTTTTTTTTGAGATGGAGTTTTTGCTCTTATCACCCAGGCTGGAGTGCAATGGCGTGATCTCGGCTCACTGCAACCTCCACCTCCCAGGTTCAAGCAATTCTCTTGCCTCAGCCTCCCGAGTAGCTGGGATTACAGGCATGCACCATTACATCGGCTACTTTTTTTTTTTTTTTTGGTATTTTTAGTAGAGACGGGGTTTCTCCCTGTTGGCCAGGCTGGTCTTGAACTCCTGACCTCAGGTGATCCACCCGCCTCGACCTCCCAAAGTGCTGGGATTATAGGCATGAGCCAACGCGCCTGGCTGGGAAATGGTTTTTCAATCAAGACTTTCTTCCAATCTCTAGTTTGGGGCTCAGCTAACGGGGGACTTGGCCATGCTGAGGGCTGGTTTCCTTCCACTTTCCCTGTCACCACCCCCAAAGTGACATGACACACGGAATGCACATGTAGAAACCTCACATGTCCCTGCCTGCGTTTTAGAAGCTGGTGTGTGCTCTCCGAGTCCCCAGAGGTCTAGATCAACTATGGTCCCTACAGGGCCTCTGCTGCCTGTGTGGCTAGTCAGTGGCATTGCCAGCGGCCACCTGGTCTGTCCACCCCCAAGCAGGTGGGCAGAGGGGCACGGGGTAGGAGGAAGGTGAGCGGGGTCGAGCTGGACAGCCTCAGGCTCCAGTCCCCTCCCCAGCTGCTCCAGGGTGCTCGCAGCACCCAGTCCCGGCCATGGGCCCCGTCAATGCAGAGCCACCGCCCCAGGGGCCCTGGTGGACTTGATTAGAAACAATAAGTGCCATGAGAGCTTCAGCCTTGTTCTAGAAACACATTCTGGAAGGCAGCTCGAAGCCCCGCCCCATGGCCTCCTGCCCTCACCTGAGCAGGTGACCACACTGGGCAGGCAGACAACACCTGAGGCTCGTGGCCGCCGCAGTGACACTCCTCAGAACTGCTGTCTTACACATGCAGGTCGGTGGCTGACTGAGGGTGCGCCCCCAGCCATCCCCAGTGCCCCCTAGCCATCTCTGCCTTCCCCATACCCCCGTGCCCGCCACCCACTCACCGCACAGCAGCCCCTCTTGCGCGATCAGCATGCGGGCAAAGGTGAACGCCTCCTCATCGTTGCTCTTGAACCACTTGTCCACCACCTGAGCAGGACCCCACCACAGCCCGTCAGCGTGGGAGCCGCTCCCACGTGACCAAGAGGGTGAACAGCCTCATGGTGGACCCCGTGTCTAGGCGGTAGGACCCCAGAGGTCTCACCCCAGCCTCTCCCCCTGGGATCGGCACGTCTGCAGACTTTCCAGTTCCAACACGTTTTGCAGACAGCAAAACTGCCCGCCAGCCCCACTGAGCATCCGTGTGACCCACACCGGCCCTTCGGTCTCTGCTCTCCCTCAGGCCAAAGTCAGCTTTTTGGCTCTTAACAGACTTTTCCGGGGCCTTAATTTTCACACGTTTTCCCTGCTCCCTGCCTGTGCCACCTGGGCTACATCCCTTGGTGAGGTCAGGCCACGTGTGCGGACATCGTCCCCCAGTCTACTTTGTCTCGACCTTCGAGACCAGCTTCTCACCATGCGTGCGGGGCTTGCCCTTCTGTTTCAGTGGAGAAGCTGGTTGGGGCCCAGGGTCAGCCAGGCTCCCCAGTGTGAGGGTGAGTTACAGGCTGCACCGGCACTGTGGCCGGGCTCTGGACTCGACCTACCGTCCTGTCCAGCACCGTGGGGATGAAGTCGTAGCCGATCCCTTCCACCTCGTAGGTTGTCTGCTCCGTCTGGTTCAGCTCCTCCGGCTCTGCGAGGATGGACCCTTCGGGATCCACCCCAATGATCTGCAGAGGGCGCGGCTTCAGGGCTCAAGGCCAGCAAAAGCCCCGCCTGGACATGCCTCGATATTCTATTATGGGAGTGGCCAATACCGCCGTTAACAACTGCCTGTTAATGATCTGCCTGTGGGTGGTGGCCTGTTCCCAGCCTCAGAGGCAGGATGAGAAACCCAAGAACCCAGGCTCCAAGTATTAAAGCGGTAATGACCTAAATGTTCAGTGCAGGGCGCTCAGAAGTAAAGGCAGGTGCCTGGGAGGAACTGACCTCCCCGGGGTGCTTCTCGGAGCGGGGCCCCCAGGACAGTCCAGACAGACCACCCTGCGGCGGAGCAGCAGAGCCTTTGGGGACAAAGGGCATTGCTGGGCAGTGACGTCTTTTTCAAGGGCAAGCAACAGGGAGAGAACGCCCTTGTCTCATCAGCGGGACCTTTCTAGGCACCCGTCCTCAGACCTGCTCTTAACCCCGAGTCCAGGAACCCTCTCCCAACTCCCACAAGCCCCAGTTGAGGGGCAGACTCAGGACCAGAGGACTTAGAGCTCCTGGCTGATCCTCAGAGGCCCCCAGTTGGAACTCCGACCCCCCACTCAGTGCAGGAAGGTTCTCCAAGACACTGGCCGGTGAGCGAGCACCCAGCCCCAGCTCCTTCGGGTCACGAGCTGCTGGTCCCTTATGTGTCAAGCACCCTTGTCTTCCCAAACACCTCCCAGGCAGCGCAGAAATACCGCGGGAGACAGCGTGCTGAGCAGACCGTGAGGAATGACAGCTTTCAGCTCAGAAGCCGGGGCCACTCCGCACTGCCCCTCTCCGGCCCGGCCACACCACTCACCCTGCATCCAGGACACTTCTCCTTCAGCTTCCTGGCAATGCCCGTGATGGTGCCGCCCGTGCCCACTGAAGCCACCAGCATGTCCAGCTTCCCTGGTGGACGGATAACATTCTTGGGTCCCTGCCTGGCCAGCCCATCACTCATAGTAATAATCATTGAAAACACACTCAGCCCAAACCACGGTGGGTAACCAAAAAGTTCAAAAGAAAAACTTCTTCTCCAGTTGGAGCAGCCCTCGTTGCTGCCCTTGGTCTGTGAAAGCCTCAGAAACAGGCAGCCTGGGGCACCCCAGCCCAGTCTTTGCTCAGTGACACTCGACCCCTAAAACCCCCATTTGGCTGGATGCAGAAAGACAGGACCCTGTCCGGGGGGTGCAGGCGCTGAGGGCGGGCAGAGGGAGGCTGTGAATTAACCACCTCCGTGGGCTGTTGGATGTTTGCGTGGTGTGAGTGAGTTAACTGAATTTACACAGGAAATGGAATCAGTCTTTTAGGCTTCAGCGCAGAAACTCGCTGGGCGCTCACACTGCTGGCCGCCAGCGCGGGCATCTGGTGGAGAAGTCACAGCAGGGAAAGACTCAGCGAGACGGAGCAGCTTGGGCACCCATGCTGAGACAGGACTGTTTTTGCCAAATGAGAGAGTTCTCACACATAAAGCCCAAACAACCAAATGCCTGGACCTTACAGCCCGGCTCCTGGGCACGGACTGAGGGTGTACTCCAGCCCATGCCAACACCGGATTCCCAATAGGAAGCCAGGGCGCCAACCTCTTGGCAACTTATCTCTAAAGGGATCTCTTGGGAAAACCTCAGTACCAACCCCCACAGGCCTTGGCACCGAGTCCCTGGAAAAGGGCCCAAGGAGCCGGCCTCATGCTTGTAACAGAGAGTGAGCTCATCGCAGATGTCACCAGCTCTGTTCTGCAGATGAATTTGATGCCGAGTCAGGGCATGATCCCAAATGAAGTCCAAGCTGTGAGCCCAGCACCAGCCTGGGCCCTGAACAGACTCGCTGTCTGCATTATCTGCAGGAGGAGCCCCTGCAGACCTGCAGAGATTGCTGGGTAAACAAATACAGCCATGCCCTGTGTTTGCTATTACAGGTAAACCACAGGCGGAGGCCAAGAGGGCACAACGGAGGGAGGAAATTGTTCTAGAGAAATGCTCTAGAAAAGCATTTCACAGAGGGAACATTTGAGCTGGGTTCTGAAGGGTGAATAGGAGTTCACCAAGGAGAGGGCAAGAGATGTGTACACTCCCAGGCAGCCAGGGATAAATGCAATCAAGATGGACAGAGGGACGCACCATCACACTGCTGCAGGATCTCATCAGCGGTGGTGTCATAGTGAGCCAGGGGGTTGCTGGCGTTGCGGTACTGCATAGAAAGAGAGCAGAGCCCGTGAGCTGACCCCTGACACCTCAGTCACCCCCACATCCCTGACCGAGACCCTCCTAGGGAATGCCTGTCTCCAGGCCCCAGGTGCCTCACCTGGTCTAGGATGTGAGAATTGGGGATTTCGTTCTTCAGCCGCCAGGCCACCCCCACGTGTGACTCCGGGGAGTCGAACCTGGCATTGGTGGGCGTCCTCACAATCTCAGCCCCCAGTGCCCGCAGCACGTCCACCTGCAGGAGGGAAAGCGGTGGCCTGCACCTTCCGCCTGGCCCAGGCACCCTCATCCCCTGCCCTATGACCCCGCCCCTGGCCACGCCCACCCACCTTCTCGGAGCTCATCTTCTCTGGCATCACGATGATGCAGCGATAGCCCCTCACTGCCGCAGCCAGGGCCAGCCCGATCCCTGAGGGCACACAGAGGGTGAGAGGGGCCCAGTGACCCCCCAAGCCCTGCCCCGCCCCTGCCTGGGACACAGGGGCACACCCCGATGCCGGTTCCCTTAGGGCCCAGGGAAGAGGGTTCTGTGGGATTCCAAAATTGCCCAACATGGCTGCTTCTGCCTTCAAGTGCAGGGGGAGAGAGGCTGCCAGAGGCAGAAATAAAAGGTACACGTCAAGGAGGAGGAGGCAGCGGCGCAGGACAGGAGATCTGGTTCCTCCAGGCCCAGCCGGGTACACAGGCACAGGAAGAGCAGACTCCGGGTGCTCGTCTTGTGTGCCAGGCACTGCCAGGTGCCATCGCCCCGAGAGCATCGGCACTGGCCCCGAATGCTGGTCAAAGGAAGCTAGGTTGGGACACAGGCCGGCAGCGGGTGCAAGATGCCAGGGAGCAGGCGGCCAGGCGGGCCAGCACATGCGGCTGCAGCTCATCCATCCCCCCCGGGTCCCGGCAGGCTCGGCATGGGTAGGGGACAGCCAGCCCCGGCCACCCCCTCTGGGCCTGGCACCCACCGGTGTTCCCGGATGTCGGCTCGATAATCGTGTCCCCGGGCTTCAGCGTCCCGTCGCGCTCAGCATCCTCAATCATCCGCAGGCTGATGCGGTCCTTCACGCTCCCGCCCGCGTTGAAGAACTCACACTTGGCCACTGGGAGGCAGAGATGAATCACAGAGGGGACCCCCTGACCACCCCCCCATTGATTCCTGCTCACCCCCCCATTACCTGATACACCCCAGGGTGGGGGACGGGCTTGGGGGTCTGTGGGTTCTGAAAAATTGCCACCTCTCCACTCACCTCCCCTACACCTGCACCTGGGCACTAGCCTATCAGAGCTTCTCCCCCTGCAGCCCATCCTACCGGTCCTGCAGGGCGCTGAGCAACTCTGTGGGAACCAGAGAGGCATAAGCAGCCCTCACTGGGGGGCGCCGCAGAAAACCCCGTCCCCCCACCCACGAGCTGGGCTTGTGGCGGGCAGGCGCCTGGATTTGGGTCCCCTACGCCCCTATGCCCAGCCATACCCAGCGGCCCCTGCCAAAGCAGCTTGATGTCCTGAAGCCACAGCACTGGCTTCCCCATCGGATGGGGACTCGCATACTCTCCCTACAGCCTCCCATTGTCCTCCTTCCCCTGTGGGGCGTCACCTGCCCGGGGAAGGGCTCCCTGCGCAGTTCCCGCACAAGGCCAAGGCCTTCACTTGCACTTCCTTCCTTACTGCAAGTCCTCTCTCCCTCTCCAGCTCTTAAAAATATTTAGTTTTTAAGAGCGAGAGAATGGGCTGCATGAAATGTGATTTGAGGGACCTGGGACCAGCCTGCAGCACCTCAAAATTTCTGAAAGCAACCACCAGACAGGTGTTGCCCCTAGAACCAGGACGAGGCGCTGTGTGTGGTGGGGAGGACTCTCGGGGTCTGGCCCTCTACAGGCCTGCATTCTCGGACCCCTCTGGGTCCCATACTGTGAAACCCTCAGTTAGATCATTCTCACTAGCGCCTGGGGGCCAGCTCCGAAGCAGAAATCAGAGCTGGTGGCCTCCGGCAAGCCACGTGACCAACCTGACCCTCGGTGTGTCTGTCTGTAAAACGGGCATTCCAAAACCTACTTCAAGGGCAACCGCCAAGTTTAGACGTCATCCTGTACGGAGCACAGTGAGCCAGCCACGCGTGCTGCGTACGAGTTAAGGGTCCCTATTGTCTGACAAATGAGCACAGAGCCGGCCCTGCTGCCTTGGGGGTCTCTGTGAAGGGGGCTGCTCTGCTGCAGCTCCGAGATCTCCTTCCCTAGAGGGGGGCAGAGGAGGGCCAGGCTCCCACGAGGCCCCTCCTGTGAATCGGCGATCGGTTCCCAACGCACCGACCCCTGACTTCCTTCCCCCAGCGCCTGCCCCAGCTCTCACAGGTCCCCCGGCTGGGACATTAGAGCATCTCAGGATGAAAAAGTCCCAAGCCATGTTACTGGTTCCCTCTCCTTCCCACTCGAACTCCACCCCCTCCATCTGGCCCTGTCGCGGGGTTCTCCGCGGCACCCTTCCTGCCTCCCTCCGAACTCACTTGACCTTGGTCATCTGAAATACGAAATTCCGTCCCCGCCTTGTCCCCAAGGCCTCTGCACCCACAGCTTTCTCTGTGACGATGCTGAGGTCTACCAGGGCTCTGCGCTCTTGGTGAAGAGCGACCCTTAGGAATTCCCTCCACGCTCTTGAGCCTGGAAACTGCGTCCTGCAAAGAAATGCCCTTCCCCGGAGGCCTCAGACCACACCTCAGGTGACCCCCTGCGCACCCAGGACGAGGCCAGCCACAGACCCTCCAAATTCCCATTCTCTGTCTCATAAATGATGAGCTGAACTATCTGTCCCCACGAAGCTGGCAAGACAGAGGTAACCGCTCCCTGGACAGCGGGTGGCTCACAGCACGTGCTAGGACCCGTCCACTGCTCCTTAGCAGGCATGACGCTAACCCTCCCCACCTGCTTGCTTCTGCCTTTGACCCTCACCCGGCCCTTCACACCCTCGCTGCTTCCACTCCGGCCTCAGTTCAAAGGTCACCTGTTCGTTCCCTTGTCCATCTGCTGGGGAGTCACTTTGGTCACCCTCTGACACAATGCCCTGTTGTGTGTTTTTCCCAAACTTAAGCTGATATGTTCTTGGCCACTCATTAACCAGCGAGTTTTCTGATCCCAGGGCCTTGCCTAAGGGATCCATCCCAGGACCCCCCAGGACCCCCCAGGCCCACGGAGCCCAGTGTAGATGGAGGAAGCCCCTCTCCAAAGCCAGGGCACTCACAGAGCTCACACTTCAGGCCGAACTTCTTCCCAATCTTGTTGATTCTGACCATAGGGGTGTCCCCGATTTTCTTCAGAATATCTGGCAAGATTTTTGGAGATTTTGCCCTGAAACAGAGGAGTCCACAATTATTCAGGAAAAAAAAAAAAAAATAGTACCAGCCCTGGCAGACATTGTCTTACACAAATCAACACTCGAAGAACTGGAAAAAAAAAAAAAAAAAAAAAAAGAACTGGCTTTATCTGGGTGGTGGTTACACAAATCTGTACACAGATACACCTAACACACATCCCACACACACGCCTGAAACACACATACACACACATGCTTAGACATACAAATCTATAAAAAGCAAATCATGCCTGTGGTTTATTTGCACCAATGCCAGCTTCCCAGGTTTGAAAATGAACCTACAGTCGTGGCAGATGTTGTTAGTGGGAAGCTGGGAGAAGGGTACAAAGGATCTATTATTTTTGCCACTTATTGTGAGTAGTAAATTATTTCCAAATAAAAAAGTTAAAATAAGCAAATACTGACTCCAAAACAAAGGTTTAGGTCCACCTTTTCAGAAAGGCTTTACTGGAGATGACATTTCCTTTCATCTCTCAGCATGTGACCATAGGAAGCAAAAAAGTGTCAGGGCAGAGACTCCTTAGACCAGGGACAATGGCTGCAAAGCGCAGGCGGGATGTCTAGCCCTGCACAGAAAATGTCAGGCACGTGGCAGACTCAGAGCCCCGGCAGAGGCGCTGTCGGCCAGGCTCGTGATGCCCTGCCCTGCAGCATCTGGCTGTGTAAACCCTCAAACCCTGGTCCAGGTGGTTTCCTAAATGGCCCTCATGCCCCTGCCATCCTCCCCCAGGGAGATGCTGATGACACCCCCTATCTATCTGCACCAAGCTCACCACATACTCATCTGGGAACACGCATGGCTTACAGCGGTCTCCAGACCCGCAACCCCTCCCTGGGCCTTGCAGCTCCGATGACACCCCGTGGCTAACCCTGGGCCCCCTCTTCAGCACAGTCACCTGCTGAACAGCCAGGGTCCTTGGGTCCTGCCCCCCAGGAGGCGACCCTTAGACCTGGGGTGAACCCAGCTCCCAGAGGTCCTGTGCCATGGAGGGAGTGCCACATTTGCAGGGAGAGCTACCCTGAAGGCCAAAACAGGCGCCAACAAGAGCAGCTGGAATCCAATCGCACCCTTCCCGGGGAGCAGAAGGCAGTCCTGCCAGGTCCCCAAACTGTACAGGGGCCAGGGAGGTTCCCTCAGAAGCAGTTCTCGGCAGAAGGGAACCAGGCTTGGCAGGTGTAGAGAGCCAGGGCCAGGTGGAAAGCCAAGCCCCAGGGTGACAGCGCCGGGGATTAGTTCATTAATTCAGTTCGGGCATCTGGCCAGCCAGGCGGGAAGAGTCCCGCCTCCCTGCAGCAGGTGTGCTGACTCAGCACTGGGCCTCGGTGGCTGTGAAGTTACCTGAGAAGTTTGCAGAGGTGATCAGGGCCAGGCCCAGAGCGCTTAGCAAGAAAAAGGATGTGACTTGCAGGGATAGCCCTGGAGCCCCTTATCTCAAGGACTCCCACTTCCACAGCCCAAGAGTCTCCTGGGAGGACACGCCACTGTCCTAGAATGAACCTCCAACTCCTGACCCACCTCTGCAGCACCTCCCCGCAACGCCACTATTCTCAGGGGCCCTCCGACTGGAGACAAGCGGCGTCGGCTCTGCGTCTCAGGATGGGGGTGTCTTCGGAGGATGAATGAGGCCAGTATGTGAGGTGCAGGTGCAACGCCATTTACAACCTGGAGGGCATCGTCTCCTTCTCATGCCCTAGAGTTAGGAGCTCACGGAGCCCTCAGGAATCGGGCCTGTCTTCCCTGCCCACTCCACCCTCCAGCAGCCACTCCCGACCTCACCGGGCCTCTCACCCACTGCTCTCTTGGGTTTGTCTTGGCAGCAAGAGCCCATCCTCCTGGCTGCCCACACATCTGCTTGGCCTCCTGAGCTCCCAGCACTGAGTATGTTTGACACTCAGACCTTCTGGGTTTGTCCACTGTCACTTCTTTCTTTCTATTGCTGCACTGAGAGTACACCCAGCCACCCCCACCCATTCTGAACTGTAAATCAACAACCATAAACGCTGGTAGTGGTGGACACAAAATAGGAATCATAATCCCAGCACTTTGGGAGGCCGAGGCGAGTGGATCAACTGAGGTCAGGAGTTCAAGACCAGCCTGGACAACATGGTGAAACCCCATCTCTATTAAAAGCATAAAAATCCACCGGGCGTGCTGGCACATGCCTGTAATCCCAGCTACTAGGGAGGCTGAGGTAGGAGAATCGCTTCCCGGGAGGCAGAAGTTGCAGTGAGCTGAGATCGCGCCACTGCACTCCAGCCTGGGTGACAGCGAGACTCTGTCTCAAAAAAAAAAAAAAAAAAAAAAGGAATCAAACATCTAAGAAGCACATTCTTTGATCTATTTGTTCTCCTCCAAGATTACACTAAGGAAATAAAGATAATCCTAAGGCTTAGTGAGCTTGATTTCAGTTTCATGCTGGGGTAGGGATTTTTGTTGATTTGTCTTTTCCACTGATAGATCTTCTGCGCCTTGAGCAGGGCACGAAATGCACATGGCGCTGAGGAAAGACTTGTTGGCTAAATGAATGTGTCGTATCTTCTATTGCAGTTATGTAAAATGAGGTAACTGCAAACATCTATCTACCCCGTAGAGGGCTTACAAAATGATGGCTTCTTCACCGAACAGTCTGTGCCACCAGAAAAACAGCCCTTATGGAAAAATATGTAATGCCTACGGGAAGTCTTCATGACCTAGAGTTAACGGAAAAGTGCAGGCTGGGCCGGGCGCGGTGGCTCACACCTGTAATCCCAACACTTGTGGGAGGCCAAGGCAGGCGGATCACTTGAACCTAGGCATTCAAGACCAGCCTGGGTGAAACCCCATCTCCTAAAAATACAAAAATCAGCTGGGTGTGATGGTGGGCACCCATAGTCCCAGCTACTTGGGAGGCTGAGGTGGGAGGATCCCTTAACTGGGGGAGATTGAGGCTGCAGTAAGCCATGATTGCACCACTGCACTCCAGCTCGTGTCTCAAAAAAATAAAAAATAAATAAATAAGAGAGCGCAGGCAGGATCCTGGTCCCTCACCTCCAGTGAATGTGCACACGCAGCCACAGACCGGGCAAAGCATGTGACCTGGGCACATTTATTTATTTATTCTGGAACTACTTGCTGAGCATCCACTGTCTTGCCAGGCACTGGCCTAGGCGCTGGGCTGCAGCGTAAGGAGGCCTTGGCCTCTCAGAGCCTCATCTACACGGCATGGCCCCACCCCCAGCTCCTCAATCCAGAGTGACTACAGGGGGTTACACCTCATGTCCTCCTGGCTGTGTGGTGTCCAGGTAACAAACTCCTGCCCTCCAGGTTATGGATCAGCCCTCTTGTGATCAAAAGCAGGACTTACGGGGCAGTGTGGTGATGTGGGGACTCGGAGGCAGGCCGGCCCAGCTGCCAGGTGCACCTGCTCGGAGCATCGGGCCGGATCCACAGGGGCTCCTTGGCTTCCTTATCCTCTGGGGACCCCTTCTCCAGGCTCCCCTTCGCCGAGTGTGGCCCTGAGCGGTGGGGGCAGCCTGTGGGCCCCACTTCTGCCTGGGGGGTCTCAGAAGGCATGCTGGGACCTGGCAAAGCAAGGAGAGAGGCGTCGGTTCAGGCTCGGATGCTGTGGGGTTCCAGCGAACCCTGCTGACCCGGCCCCCTCTGGGAGGCGTGCTCTGCTCCCTCAGAGAAGCCCAGGAAGAACTGCACAAAAACACAGGCACCAGCCCTGTGGGCAGCCGCTTGGCCATTTCTCTCCTATAGGCATATACCAAAAAAAATGGAAGCAGACAGTTGCTTGGGCCGGGTGCGGTGGCTCACGCCTCTCATCCCAGCACTTCGGGAGGCTGAGGCAGGAGGACCACTTGAGTCCACGAGGTCAAGACCAGCCTGGGCTCCAGCCCCATCTCTATTTAAAAAATAAAACAACAACAACAAAACAGATGCTTGCACACCCATGCTCACTGCTGCACTATTCACAAGTCAAAACGTGGAGGCAGCCCACGTATCCGCAGACGGATGAACACACACAGTAGGCTCATACACACACTAGAATATTACTCAGCCCTAAGAGAAATGAATTCTGGCACACGCTACAACACGGACGAACCTTCAGGACATTATGCCAAGCGAAATGAGCCAGACACAAAAGGACAAATACTGTGTGATTCCACTTCCACGATGAGGCACCTGGGACTCTCGAACGCCCCTCTATGTCTGGCAAATTCATAGAGATAGAAAGTAGAATAGAAGCGGCCAGCGGCTGAGGTGAGTGGGGAAGGGAGGGTGATTGTTTAATGGGTGCAGAGGTTGTGCTGGGGATGATGAAAACGTTCTGGGTGGAGATAGTCACGGTGGTTGCCTCACACTTAGAAATGGTTACAGTGATCAGTGTTACGTGTATTTTACCCAGGATTAAAAACACACACACGCACCTGAAATAGATGAGACAGAAAAAAAAAAGAAGAAAGCAAAAAGAAAGCCAGGCGAGGTCCCATCTGCTGCCCCTCCTCTGGGGGGACAAGGAACCCACGACCACCTCCCACCTTGCCTTCTTCAGAGGGCCCAGGACTGGGCTCAGCCCCGCTTCACCCTCCTTTGATTCCCCACATTCAACAGGAAGACTAAGTCCACAGCCGTCACTCACCGGACAGATGGTGCTGACAGTTCAGCACCGCTCAAACTCTGTAAGGAGACGTGACAACAGAATCTGTCATGGGATCCTGGAATAGAAAAGGGCAGTGAGGAGAAAACTCTGCAAATCTGACTCAAGCGCGGACTTTGGTTAATGTCAACAATGGTTATGTGATCGTGGAATTGGCTCATTAATTGTAACAAATAGGCCGGGCGCGGTGGCTCACGCCTGTAATCCCAGCACTTTGGGAGGCCGAGGCGGGCGGATCATGAGGTCAAGAGATCGAGACCATCCTGGCCAACATGGTGAAACCCCGTTTCTACTAAAACTACAAAAATTAGCCAAGCATGGTGGCGCACACCTGTAGTCCCAGCTACTCGGGAAGCTGAGGCAGGAGAATCGCTTGAACCCGGGAGGGGGAGGTCAGTGAGCCGAGATCGCGCCACTGCACTCCAGCCTGGCAACAGAGCGAGACTCCGTCTCAAAAAATAAAAATAAAAATAAAAATAAAAGAAAATAAATAAAGTAACAAATATACGACATCAGTTTAAGATCTTAATAACAGGGGAAACTGGGGGAACTCTATCTATTTTTTCAATTTTTCTAAATCTAAAACTGCTCTTTTTTAAATTTTCGAGACGGAGTCTCCCTCTTGTTGCCCAGGCTGGAGCAGTGGTGCGATCTCGGCTCACTGCAACCTCCACCTCCCGGGTTCAAGCAGTTCTCCTGTCTCAGCCTCCTGAGTAGGATTACAGACGCCCGCCACCACATCCGGCTAATTTTTGTATTTTTAGTAGAGACGAAGTTTCACCATGTTGGCCAGGCTGGTCTCGAACTCCTGACCTCAGGTGATTCGCCCGCCTAGCCTCTCAAAGTGCTGGGATTATAGGAGTGAGCCACCCCGCCCGGCCTAAAACTGCTTTTTTTTTAAAAAGCCTATTAAAAAAGAAAAAGTTGCGGAAGCCGGCTGCCTTTGGAAGCCCTTGGAGTATGCTGTTCAGGTGGTCTCTGCGCACAGGCCCTACCCAGGCCTCAGCTTGGCCTCCTGGACTTCCCAGCCTCCCCTCCACCTTTGCAATTCACCAGACTGGGGGCCAAAGCGGCTTCAAACGACCCTGGAGGGTGGTGCTTTCAAGGTCTTGGGACCACGGACTTGTCTGAAAATCCGAAGGCGTTGGATCTTCTCTTCCCCAGAAAAATGCACCCGCTTTCAGAGGTTCGTGTCCCACGCTTTTCTTTCTATCCCAACCTTGTAAGAAGCCGCCGCCGTGAGCGGAGCAGCACCTTCCTCCGCGGGTCGCGGGAGTCACCTACGGGAAGGGACTCTCCGTCTGGCACAGGCCCTGTCTGGCCTGGGGCGCGCATGCTCCGCCGCCGAATCTTCCAGAAAGCCGTGGACCCGAGGCCCCGGCAGACGCAGGCGGCCCAGCGCCTTGCTTTTGGCCCCTCGCCTCGCCCTGGAGCCCTCTCTCGCAAGGTAAGGGACTGCCGGGAACGCAGATCGCAAGCCGTCGGGGCTCTGTAGAACTCAGAGGCGCTCGGCGGAAAGCTCGCCAGGCGACCCAGACCCGAACCCGCGGGCTCCCCAAGACAACAGCGCCGGGCGGCCGGATGCACGTGCGTCCCGGGAAGGCGGGTTCAGCTGGCATCGCCTGGCCGGTTCCGTTCGCTCCTTAAACCACAAGACCCCCTTGGGGTCACGACGTTCCCGGGGCACCCCTGCACTCGCGCGCCAGCACTCCCGGAGGGGCCTGGGGAAGGCCACGCGCACGGAGAGCGGGAAACTCCTCTAGGTTTCCAGGTGGGAGATCCAGACCCTACTGAGACCCGGAAACCGCCGGCCACTCCGCCTCCGGAAGCGACACTTTGGGACAAAGCTGGGGACAAGTAAGCCCAGAAGATCCTCGGGAAGCCGAGAATTTCGCGCTCCGCTCTCCCACCCACGCTCCGCCTCCCGCTTGCATCCTACAGCTCAGCTGCGGTCTCGCCTGGGGCTCAGGGAAGTGAGGTCCCAGGAAAACCTCCATCCCCCGAACGCAACCTGGGCAGAGCCCCGCGTCCCTCCCCCAGCGGGCACCCACCTCGCGTGCCGCCCGCGCAACGACAGCGTTTACCGCCACCCCACACGGTCCGCCAAAAAGGGCGATTTGCAAACAGCCATTTCCCATCCACAATGCAGCGAACTCAATGCTGGGCACCGAAACGTGCATCTCCCCCGGATTCCCACCCCGCGTCCCTGCTCCACGCTCCAGGACTCGCCGCCAGTGGGGTCCACTCCGCCGGCGCGGGGGCTGGGGTGGGAGCCCGGGGCCACGTGCACGGCCAGCCCCCATCTTCTGGGCGGTCAAGACCGCAGGCGTGGGCGCCGGTGGGGCGGGGGTCTTGGGAGACCCTGTCTCGCCGCCTTTCGGTGCAGATGATGCAACTCTGGGCGGAGGCGCGGAGAGGGAAACCGGGACCCAGTTGAGATCCTCTGTCCAGAGAGGGGAGCGAGTCTCGGTGGGGCCGGATCTCACCTGGACGGATACATGGAAAAGAGGGGCGAGCGGCTGCCCCGACTGCGGCGAGGCGGAGACGGCGACCCCGGGGTGGCGGCCTCGCGGGGACCCACGGCGAGGGGAGCAGGCGGGCGGTGATTGGCGGAGAGGCGGGGGCGGAGGCCGGCGCCGGCCAATGTCTCGTGGCAGAGCACCCGCCCGCCCAGCCCCTCCTCCACCCCACCCAGCCCGGGCCCCTCCCCCCCACCCCTTCCCCACCCCGCCGCAGCCTGGGACCCTCCGGCCTGCCCGACCCCCGCCCTCCCCGGGACCCCGGCATGCCCCCACCCCAGTCCGCCCGCCCCATTCCCACGCCCTGTTGATTCAACCGCAGACCCGGGTCGCCGCCCCCTCCCCCGCCTTCCTCTTCGCCTGAGCCCGCCCGCCCCGGGTTCCAGCCACCCCCACCCGCGGACCCCGGTGGTGTCTTCTACCTGGTGTTCCGATGCTGTTTTACTTGGTTAACTTCTTGCCCTTCGGGAATTTAAGGAACCTTTACTGATGAGCTTGAAACGTGCGTCCTGGTGGGTGGGGGGCCCTGCGCGTCCTCGAGGACCGACCCCGAGGGCGTGTGTCGCGGGCCCGGGAGGGGGCGCCGCGCCGGGGCGGGACTCGATGGCCGCGCTCTGTGGCCGCCGGACGCCGTGCGCAGCGCCCCGCGTGACCGCGCCCAGAGCCGGGTCCGAACCCCGAGCCGAGGCGCAGAACAGTCGCCTTGCGCGGCTCCGGTGCGGCCCACGGCCAGGGGCTGCCGGGCGCTCTCGGGGACGGGGCCGACTCCGCGCAGGGTGGTAGCAGGGGCGCCCCGCGGGGCTCCTTCGCCAGGTCCCGGAGGCCGCGGGCGGGGCCGTTTCCCAAACATCGTGCTCTGGACTTTCAGAGGCTGAACCTGATCCCCCCGCCCTATGGCTAAATGGGGGATCCCAGGCCCCCGAGTCTCCCCCCGGACCTGCAGCGAAAGACACGGACGGTGCCCATCAGCTCTGGGCAGAGGAACGTGCTGCGCCTCCGCAGCGTCCCCGGCTCAGGTCAGAGCGATGTTCCGCAGCCTCCTCCGGCCCGCGCAGCTCCGCCGCGGTCTCTGCCACGTGGGGCTCACAGTAGGGGAGGGAGTGAGACGTGAATTAGAATTAAATGTCCACTGGCAGGAACTGACACGAAGAACAATAAAGCCGGCGATGTGGGGAGGGGACAGGGATGGAGTTACATCATGAAGGCTCTGGAAGGTGGCATTGGAGGCCGGGATCGCGCCACTGTCCTCCAGCCTGTGCGACTGAGCGAGACTGTCTCCAGAAAAAAAAAAAAAAAAAAAAAAATCCTGTCCAGTCTTTATAAGAAGAGAGACGTGGACACAGACACGCGGAGAGAAAAAGGCCATGTGGAGATGGCGGCAGAGATGAGATGTGCTGCCACCAGACGAGAAATGGCAGGGATGGCTGGCGGCCTCCACAGGGCTGGGAAAGGTGGCCAGGGCCTCCCTCAGAGCCTTCAGCCAGCCTGCGGGAGAGAAAGATGATAAACGGTGTTGTTTTTGTTGTTGTTGTTTGAGACAGAGTCTGTGTCACACAGGCTGGAGTGCAATGGTGAGATCTTGGCTCACTGCAGCCTCAGCCTCCCGGGTTCAAGCGATTCTCCTGCCTCAGCCACCCGAGTAGCTGGGATTACAGGCACGCACCACCATGCCAGGCTAATTTTTGTATTTTTAGTAGAGACGGGGTTTCATCATGTTGACCAAGCTGGTCTCGAACCCCTAACATCAGGTGATCCATCCGCCTCGGCCTCCCAAAAGTGCTAGGCTCACAGGAGTGAGCCACCGCGCCCAGCCCAATGTGTGTTGTTTTAAACCACTCAAGTTTGCAGTAATTTGTTACACAGCCCAAATACTTTTTAATTTTTTAGAAATTTTAACGTAATTTTAGATTAGAAAAGTGGCAAGAACCATACAGAATGTCATATTCCCTCATCCAGATTTTCCAAATATTAATTTTTTTTGCTTCTATTATCAGAAACTCATTGTTATTTCAAATGTTAAGTTTTTACTACATTTGCTCCCTCTCTGTCTCTCCACACACACACACACACACACACACACACACACGTGTGCAGGTGTGTATGAATCTGTCACTCAGTCTATCTGGTTTCTCTAACTTGTTATTTTGTTTTGTTTTGTTTCTTTTTGAGACAGAATCTTTCTCTGTCACCCACGCTGGAGTGCAGTGGTGTGATTTCAGCTCACTGCAACCTCCCCCCCACGCTGGAGTGCAGTGGTGTGATTTCGGCTCACTGCAACCTCCCTCTCCCGGGTTCAAGCGATTCTTCTGCCTCAGCCTCCCAAGTAGCTGGGATTACGGGTGCCTGCCACCACACCTGGCTATTTTTTGTATTTTTTTTTAAGTAGAGACGGGGTTTCACCATGTTGGACAGGCTGGTCTCGAACTCGTGGCCTCAGGTGATCCACCTGCCTCGGCCTCCCAAAGTGCTGGGATTACAGGGGTAAGCCACTGCAGCCAGCCCACTCTCTAGTTTTAACACTTACTGATGATTTTGTCTGAATTGATTTTTATTAAAATGGTTGCTGAGCTGTGGCTCACACCTGTAATCCCAGCACTTTGGGAGGCTGAGGCGGGCGCATCACGAGGTCAAGAGATTGAGACCAGCCTGGCCAACATGGTGAAACCTCGCCTCTACTAAAAATACAAAAATTAGCTGGGCATGGTGGTGCGTGCCTGTAATCCCAGCTACTCGGGAGACTGAGGCAGGAGAATCACTTGAACCAAGGACTCGGAGGTTGCAGTGAGCTGAGATTGTGTCATTGCACTCCAGCCTGGCGACAGAGCAAGACTCCGTCTCAAAAAAAAAAAAAAAGTAAATAAATAAGTAAAATAAAATAAAATAAAATGGTTGCTGAATAGTGGTTTTTCTAAGCCCATCACTCCTCCATGTACCATTTGGCATTCCATTATTAGAGTTTTCCTTCTCCCTCATTTATTTATTCACTTAGTTATATCAATGTGAGCCGTAGGTCCTATTTTAAAATGAAAAAGCTACACCTGACCACTGAAAGTGCACGAATGGCCAAGTGGGGTGGCTCACACCTGTAATCCCAGCACTTTGGGAGGCCAAGGTGGGAGGATCACCTGAGGTCCGGAGTTTGAGATCAGCCTGGTCAACATAGCAAAACCCCGTCTCTAGTCTCTACTAAAAATACAAAAACTGGCCAGCGCAATGGCTCACGCCTGTAATCCCAGCACTTTGGGAGGCCAAGGCGGGTGGATCGCCTGAGGTCAGGAGTTCGAGACCACCCTAGCCAACATGGTGAAACCCCGTCTCTACTAAAAATACAAAAAAAAAAGAAAGAAAGAAAGAAAGAAAGAAAAAATACAGCTGGTTGTGGTGGCAGGCACCTGTAATCCCAGCTACTCGGGAGGCTGGAGCAGGAGAATCGCCTGAACTTGGGAGGTGGAGGTTGCAGTGAGCTGAGATCGCGCCACTACACTCCAGCCTGGGCAACAAGAGCGAAACTCCATCTCAAAAAAAAAAAAAAAGAAAAAAAGAAAAAAGAAAAACACATCTCCCCGGCCCTCATCATTTTCTAGCCTCTGCCTCATTTCTGTGTCTGCCTACATGAGAGGAGGCACTGCAGGAGCAGAGCCCCCAGGAGGGCCTGGCCCACCACATTGTACTGGGAAGGAGCTCAGAGCCAGAGATGCAGGAATGCTGGCGTCCTGTGGACAAGGTGGAAGAGCTTCCTTCTAATCACCTCTGTTTCTTCAAAGGAATAGGCCTGACAGCTGGTCAGCAGCAAGTGGACAGCGAGGCCGAGCTGATGGAGGGTTTTGTTGTTGTTACTTTTGTTCAGAGTATAACACGTATGCAGAAAGTGCACATGTCATGAGTGGACAGAGGATAAACCGCTACCCCACTGGGGGGCGAGCAGAGGGGAGAGGCCTGGGCCTGCACCATCCCCTGGTGGCCGGAAGGCTGGGCCCTCAGAACTGGAGGAGATTGGAGGAGGAGGAGGAGGAAGAGGAAGGGAAGGAGGAGGAAGAGGAAGGGAAGGAGGAGGAAGAGGAAGGGAAGGAGGAGAGGTGGGCAGCACTGAGGGCTCCTGCGAATTTCCATTCACAAGTTTCCCAGGCCCCTGGCAGCACGGCTGTGCTTTTCTCTGGCTGCGGTGAGTGGCCCGCGTGGCAGGGCAGGGGAAGAGCGCTGGAGATGGTCGTGTGTGTTTACGAGATTCTCTCTCCCTGCCCAAGTCACGGCAGTGGCGGAAACTTACCCACCCTTTGGATTTGGGCTGAGCCGTGGTTTGCTTCACCCCTTGGGACACACAGCAGAAGGGAGTGTGCCTGTTTGCAGCTGAGACCTCAGGGACAGCGGCCCTGACCTCAACCTGCAGCCCGGGGCCCAGCCCTGCAGAGCCCGGCAGGGGAAGAACAAAATGCCCTTTGCTGGGAGCCACCGGGACTGGGGCTGTTTGCAGGCTGGGTTACGTGTGAGAGTGAAGTTTTGTCTGAGTGTGTTGGTGGGAGACGGCACAGACGGGAGGCTGAGCTGCGTTTGTTTGCAGGGATCTGCGCTGGGTGGGGCGGGAAGGATGGGCAGCAGGCGGCAGGGACAGTGAAAAGCTGGTGGGTCCATGGACAGGCAGCGTCACTGGAGAGAAAGAACTGCCGATGGAGAGTTCTAGAATAAGGAGCTGGAGCATCCGAGGGGCTGAAGGGCTGGCACTATAGCAACAATGCCCTTTGGGTATGAGAGGAGGGGAGGATTTGTGTAGGTCGGTGGCCAAGATCGTTCTGAGGGGAGGGTTCCTGAGCCCAGGCGTCCAGGAGGAGCTTGGATCTTTAATTTCTTTCAGTGGTGTTTTGGGATTTGGGGTATGTAAGTCTCACACTTCTTTGGTTACATTTATTCCTTTTGACTTGAGGGGCGAGTCTGCTGGCCCAGGAATGCAGGCGGTCCGTGTCTCAGGTTGGCTGCACGTCTTCCAGCAACGCTGTGTCATTTTCCGAGAGTAACGTGTGCACTCACTCACTTTCACGCCATCTCTCCACTCTGCATTTGGGCAAGCAGAGTTCCTGCTCCCCGTTCTGCGTGTCTGCCCCACCCCCACACCCCCACATCCCACCTTCAGTTACTAATACTGTATCTTTTCTTTTTCTTTTTCTTTTTTTTTTTTTTTTTTTTTGAGACGGAGTCTCACCCTATCACCCAGGCCAGAGTGCTGTGGTGTGATATTGGCTCACTGCAACCTCCGCCTCCCGGGTTCAAGCGATTCTCCTGCTTCAGCCTCCCGAGTAGTTGGGATTACAAGCATGCGCCACCACGCCCAGCTAATTTTGTATTTTTTAATGGAGACAGGGTTTCTCCATGTTGGTCAGGCTTGTCTCGAATTCCCAACCTCAGGTGATCCACCCGCCTCAGCCTCCCAAAGTGCTGGGATTATAGGCGTGAGCCACCGCACCCAGCCTGTATCTTTCATTTTTCTAGAGACAGGGTCTCGCTCTGTCTCCCAGGCTGGAGTGCAGTGGTGCATTCATGGCGCCCTGCAGGCTTGACCTCCTGGGCTCAAGTGATTCTCCTGCCTCAGCCTCCCAAGTAGCTGGGAGCACAGGTGTGAGCCACCACACCCGGCTACAGTTACTAATGCTATTGCTACCGACAACGGCAACAACTGACTGCCATGCACTGATTGCGGATGTGCCAGGCCCTGCTCTGGGAGCTTCACCTGTGTTACCTGACAGGATCTTCCTAACACTGAAGGAGGGGCACGACCTGACCATCCCTTTACAGAAGAGAAAGACGAGTGTGCAGGAACAGGGAGCAGAGCTGGGTGAGACCAGGCGGCGGGACTCCTGGGCCCACTCTTACCCATGGGACTTTGTGGTCCTCCCACGACGCCAATCAGCCCCAGTTTGAACCACGTGAAATTGCTGAAATGTGACCTTTTGACCCACAAAAAAATGGCAATTTCCTATGATTCAACTTTTTTTTTTTTTTTGAGACGGAGTCTCACTCTGTCGCCCAGGCTGGAGTGCAGTGGTGCAATCTTGGCTCACTGCAACCTCCGTCTCCCGGGTTCAAGCTATTCTCCTGCCTCAGCCTCCTAAGTAGCTGGGATTACAGGTGCGTTCCACCGTGCCTGGCTAATTTTTGTATTTTTAGTAGAGATGGGGTTTCACCATGTTGGCCAGGCTGGTCTTTTTTTTTTTGGAGATGGAGTCTTGCTCTGTTACTCAGGCTGGAGTGCAGGGGCGTGATCTCAGCTCACTGCAAGCTCCGCCTCCCGGGTTCACGCCATTCTCCTGCCTCAGCCTCCTGAGTAGCTGGGACTACAGGCGCCTGCCACCACGCCCGGCTAATTTTTTGTATTTTTAGTAGAGACGGGGTTTCACCGTGTTAGCCAGGCTGGTCTTGAACTCCTGACCTCAGGTGATCCACCCACCTCGGCCTCCCAAAGTGCTAGGATTATAGGTGTGAGCCATCGCACCCGGCTGATTCAACTTATTTTTATTTATTTATTTTTTGAGACGGAATCTCGCTCTGTCACCCAGGCTGGAGTGCAGTGGTGCAATCTCGGCTCACTGCAACCTTCATCCCCCAGGTTCAAGCGATTCTCCTGCCTCAGCCTCCCTGGGATTACAGGCACCCACCACACCTGGCTAATTGTTGTGTTTTTCGTAGAGACAGCGTTTTGCCATGTTGGCCAGGCTGGTGACAAACTCCTGACCTCAGGTGATCTGCCCACCTCAGCCTCCCAAAGTGCTGGGATTACAGGCGTGAGCCACCGTGCCCCTGGCTGATTCAACTTATTTTTAAAAAAAGACCTGGGATTTGAGGAGGTGCCTGAATAGTTGGAGGTAGGCGTTTTCCAAATCGAGTTTGGCTGCGTGGGGTGGAATGTAGGCTCCAAGGATGCCCCGCTGTGTGAACAGGCCAGCTGCTCCTGGAATGCTGCTGAGAGGGAGGTGCCCTGTTGAGGGGGAGTCCCAGGGGGGTGAGGGGCTGGCTTCCTTGCTGAGAGCCACACCATGCCATCTAACAAGTCAGCTGGAACCCCTGGCAAGATGGCCGAGGCTGGGTGGTGACCTCACTTGCTGGGTTGCTGGGCCCAGGCCCGGCTCTCTCCTGAAAGCTCCACAGACCTGCAGACTCAGTTTCCAGGCCTGTCCTGCTGCCCCCGGAGCACGGGCATGGGAAGACAGCCATCTGGGCGGTCTCGGGACTGTTTGGTTGAGAAGGTTCTGTCACATATGACGTGCTAGAAAGAAAAGACCTTGGACTTTAATTTCTTTGGGCGTTAGAGAGGAGAAGGCGATTTCAGCTTTAGACCATGTTTTCTCTTAGGAGCCTGGCGGTGGGAGGGGAGCCCGGCCATGGGAGGGGAGTCATATTTTCCAGACTGTGCGGCTTCAGGCCACCATGGGTCTCAGCTGATCTCTTACAAAGCGCTTGGGAGCTCCCGAGACCGGGGAGGCGGCGCGGCGTGTCAGCCTTGGCTGCCGGGTGGCGCTTGAGTTAACCTGATTATTGCATGGATCTCACTGGTTCAAAACCTTCCTGGGGAAGAAGCCAACTGTCCGTGGAACCAGGAGGAGCCTGAGGGGTGGCAGTGGGCACTAAGGAAGTGGCCTCGGGGTGCGGGAGGACAGCCTTGGCATGGTTGATGCCTTGCCCAGCCCACTCTGGGTGAGGGAACACGGGAACAGTGTCATGTTTCCATGAGGGGCCACTCCTGGCTTCTCTCCTCACCCCCCCACCCCCCATCCTTCCCTGGAGAGGAGTGTGACCTGTCTGACCGCGTCATGCCGAGGCTTCGGCACTGACTTGTGCAGATGCCTGCACTGCAGGGCGCTGATCTGTTTAAATGGCGCGAGCCCTGGGGACTCACTCCCTCCCTACCCCCAAGCAGGCACAGGGCCAGCGTCCCTGCATGCTGTGTGGGCCCAAGCTGACCCGCAGGTGGGCAGTCCCGGGTCAGACCATGGACAGGGATGGCCTTACAAGTTCTCTGGGCCTTAAAATCTAGATTCATGTTCTCCAATCTGCTTTGTCAGAAATAAAGTTGATAAGGCAAAAAAAGTCTACTCAGGTGAAAACCCTCAGAGGCATCCTTGAATTCTCTCTCACAGCCCACACTGGACGCAACAGCAAATCCCATAGGCTCTTTTTTTCTTGAGTCAGGTCTTGCTCCGTTGCCCAGGCTGGAGTGCAGTGGTGCAGTCCTGGCTCACTGCAGCCTCAACCTTCTGGGCTCAAGTGACCCTCCCACCTCGGGCTCCCGAGCAGCTAGGACCACAGGCATGTGCCACTGTACCTGGCTGGTTTTTAAATACTTTTTGTAGAGATAGGGTTTCACCATGTTGCCCAGGCTGCTCTTGAACTCCTGGGCTGATCCACTTCCCTAGGCCTCCCAAAGTGCTGGGATTGCAGGCATGAGCCACTGTGCCCGGCCCCTGTAGACTCCTGTTCATTCAAAATATACCCCAGGCACAAGGACGTGCAAAAGACCCACGAGCAGAAGGGAATCCAAGAACAGACCCATCTGCACACGGTGACGGGACTACCACAGAGGGAGCCGCGTCCTGCAGGGAAAGGTGGTGGTTGTTTTTACAATAAATGCTGCTGGAGCAATTGGATATCCATGTAGGAAAGCGCTGATTTCACACCGACACGGAACATGGCTGCATGCGTGGCTCACGCCTGTAATCCCAGCACTCTGGGAGGCCAAGGCCGGTGGATCACTTGAAGCCAGGAGTTTGAGACCAGCCTGGCAACATGTGAAACCCTGTTTATATTAAAAAAAAAAAAAATTAGATGGGCATGGTGGCTTGCACCTATATTCTCAGCTACATGGGAGGCTGAGGTGGGAGAATCACTTGAGCCCAGGAGTTTGAGGCTATAGTGAGCTATAATTATGCCACTGCACTCCAGCCTGGGTGACAAAGTGAGACCCTGTCTCAACAATGACAACAACAAAAGGAAGACAAATCCTAGAGCTAAATGTGAAAGTGAACATATTAAAGCTTATGACGGGGGCTGGGCACAGTGGCTTACACCTGTAATCCCAGCACTTTGGGAGGCCAACGTGGGAGGGTGGCTTGAGCCCAAGAGTTTGAGACAAGCCTGAGCAATATGGTGAATCCCTGTTTCTACAAAAAAAAAAAAAAAAAAAAATCAAAAAATTAGCCAGTCGTGGTGGTGCACACCTGTAGTTCCAGCTACTTGGAAGGCTGAGGTGGGCGGATCGCTTGAGTCCAGGAGATGGAGCCTGCAGTGAGCTGAGATCACACCCACTGCACTCCAGCCTGGGCGACACAGCCAGACCTTGTCTCAAAAACAAGCTAACAGGCTGGGCGCAGTGGCTCATGCCTGTAATCTCAGCACTTTGGTGGGCTGAGGCAGACAGATCACTTGAGGTCAGGAGTTCGAGCAACTCAGGAGGCTGAGGCAGGAGAATCGCTTGAACTCAGGAGGCAGAGGTTGCAGTGAGCTGAGATCACACCACTGTACTCCAGCCTGGGCGACAGAGTGATAATCCTTCTCAAAAAAAAACAAAACACGCACACGCACACACACACACACACAAGCGGCCAGGCACCATAGCTCATACCTGTAATCCCAGCACTCTGGGAGGCCAAGGCGGGTGGATCACCTGAGGTCAGGAGTTCAAGACCAGCCTGGCCAATATGGTGAAACTCTGTCTCTACTAAAAATACAAAAATTAGCCAGACGTGGTGGTATGTGCCTGTAATCTCAGATACTTGGGAGGCTGAGACAGGAGAATTGCTTGAACCTGGGAGGCGGAGGTTGCAGTGAGCCAAGATCGCACCATTGCACTCCAGCCTGGGCAACAAGAATGAAACTCCATCTCAAAAACAGAACAAAACAAAACAAAACAAAAAGCAAACAGGCTGGGGATGGGGGCTCACGCCTATAATCCCAGCACTTTGGGAGGTTGAGGCAGGTGGATCGCTTGAGGTCAGCAGTTTGAGACCAGCCTGGCCAACATGGTGAAACCCCATCTCTACTAAAAATACAAAAATTACCCGGGTGTGGTGGCGGGCGCCTGTGGTACTTGGGAGGCTGAGGCAGGGGAATTGCCTGAACCCAGGAGGTGGAGGTTGTAGTGAGCTGAGATTGTGCCACTGCACTCCAGCCTGGGCGACAGAGTGAGTCTTCATCTCAAAAAAAACCAACCAAACAAACAAACACACACACACAATATATATATATATAAGGCTTACAACAAAGACAGAGAATATCAGCAGGAACTTAGGGAGGCGAGAAGTATCTTACATGGAACACAAAAAGCACCGTGTACAGACGAAAGATGGGTAAATCAACTTAGTTGAATTCTAAGAACAGGCTTTCATCAAGACACCATTTAGAGAGAGAAAAGGCAAACCACAGACTGGGAGAAAATATTTGCAACGCACGTCAACAAAAGATTCATCTCCACCGTATATAAAAAACATCTAGAAATAAATAAGAAAATGACAAACTACTCAATTTTTTTATTTTTATTTTTTTTTGAGACAGAGTTTCACTTTTGTCACCCAGGCTGGAGTGCAATGGGCGTGATCTCGGCTCACTGCAACCTCTGCCTCCCAGGTTCAAGTGATTCTCCTGTTTCAGCCTCCTGAGTAGCTGGGATTACAGGTGCCTGACAACCAGGCCCGGTTAATTTTTGTATTTTTAGTAAAGACGGGGTTTCACCACGTTGGTCAGGCTGGTCTCGAACTCCTGACCTCAGGTGATCCACCCACCTCGGCCTCCCAAAGTGCTGGGATTACAGGCGTGAGCCACTGTGCCCAGCCTCGATATTTTAAAATAGGCAAAAGACTTAAACCCGGCTTCACAGAGAGACATGCAAATGTTAACAGCAGGAAAAAGTGCCGGCCTCATTAGTCATCAGAAATACGAAAATGAAAACCACAGTCACCCATCACTGCACCCCACCAGAACGGCTTACAAACCAAGCGGAGAGGACCACCCCAAGCCCATCACAGTCCAAGCCGCCCTCTGCTCTTGCCTGGACAGTCCTGTCTGTGTGCTTCTCCTCTGCACTCCTGCCCGGCCTGCAGTCTGTCCCCCACACTGCAGTGAGAAACTGCTTTAAGCATATAAATTAGAGCTCTTTATGCTCCTGTTCAAACCCTTCCCACGACTCAGCTTAGGGATTCCAGGGACAAGCCACGTGTGGTCACTCAGACCTGTACTCCCAGCACTTTGGGAGGCCGAGGCGGGAGGATGGCTTCAGCCCAGGAGTTTGAAGCCAGCTTGGGCAACATGATGAGACCCTGTTTCTAGGGAAAAAAAAGATTCCAGGTCCTTCCCATGGCCCATGAGGCCCTGTGAGAGCTCTCCCTGGCGTCCTCCCCAACCTTTTCCTGATCTCTTCCCAGCACACGTCTTCAACACCTGGGGAAGGATGCCCAGGGTCCCTCCCTCTGGGGCCCCCCAGTACTCAGTCCTGAGTGACTGTGGGCCTGGTTTCACCCAGTGGCATGTGCAGCTTGCAGGTCATTCTGGTCAGGGGCCAGAGCGCCAGCAAGAAGTCTCTCTCTCTCTCATCACCCCTCTCTCTCCCTCCCTCCCTGTAAGCTGGCAGCATTTTGGGTGGGGGCTGCCCTGTCAGCCTGGCCCCCATGAAGACAGCTCTGAGCTGCAGGACCGATGGCAGGCATGTAGGTGAGCGGGACATGAGTCCTGGGATTTCAGGGCTGTTGTGACCTGGTGCTAGTCTTTCCTGACAACCCCAGTGTGTTCCTGGTTCCTGCCGCAGGAAATCTGCCCTCACTGCTCCACGCGCCAGGACGTGCCCTCCTCCTCCTCTTTCCGCACCTATCTCCTGGCTGCGGCTGCTCACTTGTACCTGCACCATTACTTACTGCTGTATTCTTTGCTTTTTCCAGACTGATGCACCCACCAGCTGCAAATCTTAGGCCAGCTACACCCAACACAGTTGAATATTGTGGACAAGCTGTGCCAGACAAAATCATACATGATTTCACTTCTAAAAGCAGGCAAAACTGTCATGTTTAGTGAACCATATGTAGTTTGTAAAATAGTAAAAGCAAAACAAAATGATTATTGCAAACGTCAAGATAGTTGTTTCTTTTAGGGGGAGGAAGAATTTTATGGCCGGGGAGGGCTGGCCTGGATGCTGGCTTTGTGTTGCTTCTTGACCACGATGATCACCTTGCAATTGTCTTTTAAACCAGGTTTAGCTTTGAGGTACTTTGCTGTATGTATCATACATCTAATTAAAAATATAACAGACATGGAAGCCAGCTAAGAGATGCAACGTAAGCGTAACTGGGGGAACCATAAGAAACAATGTTGGCTGGGCACAGCGGCTCACGCCTGCAATCCTAGCACTTTGGGAGGCTGAGGTGGGTGGGTCACCTGAGGTCAGGGGTTCGAGACCAGCCTGGCCAACATGGCGAAAAATACAAAAATGAGTCGGGCGTGGTGGTGTGTACTCGTGGTCCCAGCTATTCAGGAGGCCGAGGCGCAAGAATCACTTGAACTGGAGAGGCAGAGGTTATAGTGAGCTGAGATCGTGCCACTGCACTCCAGCCTGGGTGACAAAGTGAGACTCTGTCTCAAAAAATAAAAGAAACAACGTAAGAAAACTTAGAACAGATGAAGTATTTGATAGCATTCATCCTTGACTTCCTGGATTGAATCACACCCACTACTGGCAGATTTACCTTAACACGCTGCTGGACTGTTTGCTAATATTGGATGTGGGGGTTTTGCATCCATATTCAGAACTGGGAGGCCCCTGTAGTTTTGTGGGCCATTTTGATCAGTATCACACTCAGTTCATAGAATTTGGAAGCTGACCTTTTTTTCAGGTTGGAAAAATAAGTGATGCCAACTTGGGCCTATGAGACCGAGATGCTGGGTGTCTGTCATGGCCTGCATCGGCCATCTCGCTATTCGCCTAATGTTATGTGGAACCCACACGGCACAGACCAGAGCTCAGCAGGGCAAGGCCACTGGACCTAATTACAGAAGCCAACACATCTTTTTTTTTTTTTTTTTGAGACGGAGTCTCACTTTATCAGCCAGGCTGGAGTGCAGTGGCACAATCTTGGCTCACTGTAACCTCTGCCTCCTGGGTTCAAGCGATTCTCCTGCCTCAGCCTCCCGAGTAGCTGAGACTACAGGCATGTGCCACCACACTCGGCTAATTTTTTTTTGTATTTTTAGTAGAGACAGTGTTTCATCATGTTGGCCAGGATGGTCTCAATCTCCTGACCTCGTGATCCGCCCGCCTTGGCCTCCCAAAATGCTGCAATTACAGGCGTGAGCCACCACGCCCGGCCCAACACATCTTCTCGTTGTTGGAGCTAGTTTGTTAGATTGTCTGTCACCTGCAGCGAACAGCACACTGGGACAGCCTGGTCCACTTAGGGTCTCTGAAGCGGTTCCCTCTTCTGCAGAGCGAGACGCTCCTATTTCTCAAGAGCTTGTGTGGGTCAACTGGGATAAAGAGCTAAAGAGGTCCCTTTTCTTCCTGCTTTGTCCCATGTCAACCACAACTCCCCTTGCTGGTGTCTGGATTTTCAGGGCAGGTAAAATTTACCTTCCATGCCCCCACAACCTGGTTCAGCTTTGCTATTTCCAAAGCCCTTGAGATTCTAACCCCGCCATCCCCCTGGACCTCTCACTTCTCAGGCTGCTCATCTGGACCGAAGGGAGCTCTGGGAACAGAGCGGTGGTTCCTAGGAAGTGCTGCTTCGATTTGAGCCCCGCTTCTCCAGGGCAGAGGCACAGCATTCGCCAGGCAGGCACTGTGTCTTGCTCACCCCGTGGTGTGCATGCATGTCCCAGCGTCCTGGCGGTGCTGGCCACTGGGTGGCTGCGAACCCCTGGAGCCTGGGAAACATGAAATAACAAGCCACTGCAGGGAGCGTCATAACACGGAACACGCTCGACGGCTGTCCTCTCCTGGGTCCCCTGCGTTAGGCATGCAAACTTGGGTGCGCAGGGTAAAGCATGTGGGCTTTATTACTGCATTCCCTACTGTCATGTATGTTTAGATATTTCCAAAATAGAACTTTTATTTCATGAAATGATGGTGAAACTTGAGAGCAAGCTAAAAAGTCCCACTTGGCAAATTAAAAGTTAGAAATCTTATGTTGATCCCGTCTTTGGTAAAATTTAGGTGGAATGTGAAATTCACGGTCTGGGAATAAAGTGCTTTTTAGGGCCATCCATAGCCACGTCCCGCATGGCTTGTTAGTGTTCTGAGACTCAAAGTCTTACCTTCCATCGCACAGGATCGAGAATCAGATTTTATAATTCTATTCTTCCTCTGTGCTTTGAATTGAGACTTTTTCCAGAAATCATTCTTAGGTTTATTCCCTTTTGGTAAATTCTAGTTCAATCCTGAACTAGAAAAGAGGCAGTGACCACCATCACCCCTTTAGACACTGCCGTGGGCACACCACCAATACCTTCCCCATACTCAGTTCATTTGAAGGCAACAGATTTTCTCCAATTAGCAGGGCAATGACCCCATTAATCATGGTTTCAGAAATATTTAAAATGATCCTTATCTACTTACAAGCACATGCATATGGTAAGCTTGTTAGTCCTCCTGACTCAACAGCAAGCAAAAGAATGCTGCAGGGAGGCCAGGCATGGTGGCTCACACCTGTAATCCCCGAACTTTGGGAGGCCGAGGCAGGTGGATTGCCTGAGCTCAGCAGTTCGAGACCAGCCTGGGCAACGTGGTGAAATCCCACCTCTACTAAAATACAAAAAATTAGCCGGGCCTGGCGGCGTGTGCCTGTAATCCCAGCTACTCAGGAGGTTGAGGCATATAATCGCTTGAACCTGGGAGGCGGAAGTTGCAGTGAGCCGAGATTGTGCCACTGCACTCCAGCCTAGGCGACAGAGCAAGACTCCGTCTCTTAAAAAAAAATTGCTGCAGGGAGCACACAGTAACTTAGATAATTCAACACCACTGTTGAATCAGATGTGCTGATACCGTATTTAAAGTTTATTCTGGCAGCTGTTTGCCATTTGGTTTTATATCTCAGCAAACGTCATATAATATTCACGTAAGAAACAATTTACAGTGGTATTTGGACCTGAATTCATTATAAATCAAAATTATTTCAAGTGGCTTTTATATTCTTCCTTTTTAAAAACAATCTGCCTGGCCCTAGCACCTGTATAAAAGCTTAACTCTATCTGCCACTGGTGGACCGCCTGGACTCATTTCACTGGGCTGCTCTTTCTCAACCATGATCCACGCACACCAGAGGGGCAGCAGTGCCTCATGGGCACTCAGGGTCATGCTCACCTTCCCACCTCAACCGCATCATAGACCCACACTGGGGTGGGGGAGTGGGGACCAGGGTGACAGGCTTCCTGTGTGACTGTGAGCTCCTCTTACTACAATGTCTGAAGACACTTTTTATGGCATTTTGATTCACATTTTATCATTTACTGGTTTTTTTTTTGGGACAGGGTCTCACTCTGTTGCCCAGGCTGGAGTACAGTGGCAATCACACCTCACTGCAGCCTCGGCTTACCAGGCTTGGGTGGGTCCTCCCATCTCAGCCTCCCGAGTAGCTGAGACCACAGGCATGTGCCACCACACCCAGCTAATTTTTTGATTTTTTGTTGAGATGGGGGTCTATGTTTGCTGCTCAGGCAGGTCTTGAACTCCTAGACTCAAGTGATCCTCCTGCCTCAGCCTCTCAAAGTCATGTATATTTTAAATAAGCTTTCTGATTCTTAGCGGTTAAGAAATATAAAGTACAACTTTTGCCATCTTCCCTCCTTCAGACTGAGTGGAAATTAATAAATGGCCATCACTGACCAAAGTTAAGGTAAAAGAAAAAAAAAGTTTGTACTTTTTTTGGAAACATGTCGAGTATAAGGACATAAACGAAACGGCCCACATCGCCAAACACTGCCACTAACCCATCTAAAATTACCATTTGCCCACCACCCACATCACCAAACACTGCCACTAACCCATCTAAAATTACCATTTGCCCACCACCCACATCACCAAACACTGCCACTAACCCATCTAAAATTTCTGCCCACCACCCACATCGCCAAACACTGCCACCAACCCATCTAAAATTATCTGCCCACTACTATAGTATACAAACCTATTTTTTTCTAAGAGACAAGGTCTCACTGTGTTGCCCAGGCTGGAGTGCAGTGGCATGATCATAGCTCACTTCAGCCTCCCAGGTGAATCGACACCATCACCTTCTTGAACTTCATCACATACAAATGGGCTTTCATGAGATGGTCAAGTAGTATGTCCTGCCAATCTTCACTGGGTGTGTAGTTAGGGCCCAGCCACTCCCCTACTCCACCAGCAGGGTCTGTCACTGAGCCCCCACAAGGAGCAGAGCAGGGCAGGAGAGCCTGGGTGACTCCCACCTAGAGCCAGGAGGTTTTTGAGGATGAGGTATGTGGACACGTGGGCATGGTTTGGGATGGCCTCACTTGGAACGTTTTGGTCTTAGGAATGAAATGCTCAGCCCCCAGCACTGACTTGTGGCAGGTGCCCCAGACCGGTCAGCTGGCTGTCACCATAGTCACACCACCAGCACGCGCCACCCGAGTAGCTTGGGGAAAGTAATACCAGAGTGTCTAAAGGCGGATCTGCACCGCAGGCTTCTGTGTCTCCCACAGCCATTGGCATAAGGAAACACGGACACGGACTACTGGCCCTCAGTGTGCCGTGTGAGCATCCACGCTCCCTCCCACGAACACATGGGGTTCTTGACACAAACTCGCAGGAACGAGAAGGTAACATGGGTCGGGCCCACCCACTGTGTCTCACCACAGATCAGCCTTCTTCCCAACATCAGTGCAGTCTACAGCGTGTCTACTGATTATAGCTAAGCACTTCTTCACTAACCAGTTAGAAAAGAAACCCCAAAAGGCTTTCCATGACAGCCTCGAGAAATTCCGGATTATTTAGCATGTAGATCTCACCTGGTATGTGTTTTATTTCATGCCCTAAGATAAAAAATATTATTTCATTTATACTCAAAGTGGTGGATGGATATTAATCTTTACCTCCAAGATGACTAGCAGATTTATAAAGAAAAAGAAATTTAAAGAACTTCCACAAGAAATAAGTTACACCAAGAATACTGTTATCACTACAAATTTTATTCAGAAACCCATCTTTGTATGTTTTTTTTTTTGTTGTTTTTTAAAAAAAATTCCCCTTATGAACTGGTTTGGTCAATCAACTACAACACTTTCTAGCAGACATAAGGTAAAAATGGCATGGCTCAGAATCGCCCAGATCTTTCACGATCTCTCGACCGCCTCCTGTCACGCTCCCGTCCGCCGCCACCTCCACCACCGCCACCGCCACCGCCACGACCACGGTCTCTAGACCGAGAACGACGCTCCCGGGATCGGGATCTTGATCTATGCCTGCAACCAAGGAAAATAAAGAAAACCGTGCCATCCAAACCACGGCACGCAGCACAGAACCACACCCACTCTCTCAACACGCGCAGCTCCTCAAGCCAACGGCACTGATAAGGAAAAACACTGCTGAAGAGACTGCACGCCGTGACTGAGACACACCCTGATTTCAGGTGTGAAAAGTTTCAGGAGAAAAAAATGTGCAACTTAGAAGTGAACAGGTGTAATACCTTGCATCTTCTGTCTTCTTCTAGAACCAACTCAAATGGTCACAGGAAATCATAATCAAAATGAGCTGGACACATACCATCTTCAACCCTCACTGACCCCACGCTTCAGGCGCTCATAGCTACTGTGTCCATCAGGTTTTTGGGCTGGGGAGAGCAGGCCTGTTTTTCTCTTATGCTTCTTGAATGCTGACAATAAAACAATCGCCACCCATCTATTTACTAGTCCATGTTTAACAGAAGAGGGATGAGAACCTCTCCAGACTCAGAACTCAATCGGTTCGATTCTGACGTCTTGATTTTCTCTGCTCTGTGACCTGTCGTACATTTAAATGTAGGATCAGAGAGATGTGACCGCTGGGCCTGATTCTGCCAGTGTCCCGAAGGGAGGATGCCAGCGATCCCAAGACATAATGAAATGCCCTAAAACCAACAAGCAAAACCAAAAGAAACCCCAGTGGACATGTGAAATATGTAAAGCAAAAGCTTGTCCAACCTGCAGCCCAACACAAATTCATCAACTTGCTTAAAACATTATGAGATTTTTTTTGCAATTAAAAAAAAAGTTATCAGCTATCATTAGTGTATTTTATTTGTGACCCAAGACAATTCTTCTTCCAATGTGTCCCAGGGAAGCCATCCCTGATCTAAAGGAGGTTACAACATCTATTCTTCTTCTTCGTAATATCTGGGAGAATAAACTGCATGCCCACTTTCACCACGAGCCTCATGTCCGCGGCTGCCCAGCTAACCGCCCTCTTGCTTGATTACTAAGATCTGATCTCTACTTGAGAAGTTGGATAATGAAGTTACCTGTGTGCAGGTGAATATTCTTCTCCAAAGAGGACATTTGGATATTTAAAAATATGTACTATGTTCTAAGCACTGCCTTTTAAAAAACAGAAACAACACCTATGCCAAAATTTTTTTTTTGGAAGGGGGAGGGTTGTGAGGGGAGAAAGAAGCCACTGAGCTTAACAACGGGCACAGGAATACTCACTTCTTGCGACGGCGGCCATACAGCTCCCGCCGCAGCTCTCTGGAAATGGGCTTCAAATGCATGAAGTTGCAGAAGCCGCCTCGTGTGCATTCTCTGTGGGTGGGTTGGAAGGAGACATTTACTACCTCGTGTGCACACGGCCCCGAACTGTGCTCAGTCACGTCACTGGCCACTCCTCACTCACCCCATCTCATACTGACGGCAGCAGGCTTCTCTGAAGTCCGTCACGGGTGACAGCTCGGCGTGGATCGGCTGTCCATTAAACCAACGGTTATTCAAGTCAATCACAGCCTTTTCCGCATCTTCCTCACGGCGAAACTGAAAAGACAAAAACAGAAGTGCTTGCCATCCACGCTTTAATAAGACTTTCTCAATTACCAATCCAAGTATGTATCAGAGAGAGATATACACACTCAGGTATAGTAAGGTGGAATAGTATTACAGGATAATTGAAAAATCCTTTATTTTCAATGAGATTAACTTCAAGATAGTCCAAGATTTTGCCAAATGTTGCCTTCATTTTTCAAATTCAACTGGTTAAAGGAGCAAATATGGCTGTGTAGGCAAATAAAGTTTTATTCACTAAAAAAGAAAAAAGAAACCAAACATGTGAGTAAACCTAACTTTTCCTTAGTCCACACAGCTTCTAAACCAACAGGTACTAAATATTCTACACTGAAATAACGATGGCTGTGGTGTACGGTCCGTCCTTCAGTTCTGCTGGCTGGGCGCACGTGTGGGCTGGCCACCGCCACATATGACGCAGCCGGTAGGCGCCGAGCCAGTGCACCTGAGCCCTGCTGTGCGCCTGAGCATCCAGGATCTCAAGGTGCATGGCGACAGGCACCCCATCCTCTGTCGGCCTTGGCCCCGGCACACTAAGCGGCTGCACCACTGTCTCGCTTTCGCCTGTTGGCCTTGGCCCCGGCACACTAAGCGGCCACGCCGCCGTCTCGCCCTGGCTCCTACCTTGACGTACACGTTCCCCACCAGGTGGTCTCCCAGGTTGTCACAGACGTTCATCTCCTCTACTTCCCCATACTTCTCCTCCATTTCTGTAAAAACCTCCTGAAGGGAGACCACAGTGGTTTAAGACTCGTTATACACTACAAAGTGTCATTAGATATAACTCATGTATGTTTATTAGCAGAGAAACATTTTAAATCCTTCCAAACAGATACAGAAGATCAACAGGTCTATCAGTCACAGAGTTCAGTTCTCTCACCTCAAAAAACTCATCATAGTGTTCCTGCATCTCCACATCGCTCACGGCACCTGCAAACAACAGAAATCTTGCTGGTTAGAACATGTTAACCGAGTGAACTCTTGTGTTTAAACTCAAACTGCTACAGTAACACACACGAGATTATCTAGAGAAAAGCCTGGCAGAGCTGCACTCTGCAGGAGCACTCAGGAGACTGAGCCACATGGCTACTTGTGAATGGTGTCAAGTGTGGTGAGATTTTAAATGTCCCCATGACAGTCTCGATTCTGGCTACTAAGGTGTTAAAATCACAACCAGCTTTAATCAGCATCAAAAGGGCCACATTTTCAGAAACTGTGAGGAAAAAGTTGACTCTCAAACTACAAATTTTTTTTTTACACCCACAAGATGCAGTCTGGCTCTGTCGCCCAGGCTGGAGTGCAGTGGCACCATCTCAGCTCACTGCAACCTCCACCTCTGGGGTTCAAGCGATTCTCCTGTCTCAGCCTCTGGAGTTGCTGGGACTACAGGCGACTGCCACCACGCCCGGCTAATTTTTTTTTTTTTTTTTAATTTTTAGTACAGACAGGGTTTCACCACGTTGGCAGGCTGGTCTTGAACTCCTGACCTCAAGTGATCCGCCTGCCTTGGCCTCCCAAAGTGCTGTGATTACAGGCGTGAGACACCGCACCTGGGCTCAAACTAAGAAATATTAAAATTTTCTTCCTTTTAAGATTTAGAGTAAAGGCCAAATAAGCACACTGATGTCTTCCCCTCTTCTATAAGTTTAAAATGAAACCTGAAAGCAGGGTCGATGATTAAAAGCTGATGTTCCTAACTAGTCTTTTATGGACTGCCAGCCATGGTATGCTCTCAAATTCTTCTGATGTGATTAAAATCCAAGCAACCATGAAGATTCAGTAGGACAGTTCACGCAACCTTACGGTATTGTGGACGCCCTCAAGTAAAGGGAATGTTACAATGTTTTGCTGATGAAAGCATTCTTTTTTTTTTCTTTTTTTTGAGACGGAGTCTCACTCTGTCGCCCAGGCTGGAGTGCGGTGGCGCAATCTCGGCTCACTGCAACCTCCGCTTCCTGGGCTCATGCGATTCTCTGCCTCAGCCTCCTGAGTAGCTGGGATTACAGGCGCCCACAACCACGCCCGGCTAATTTTTGTATTTTTAATAGAGATGGGGTTTCACCATCTTGGCCAGGCTAGTCTTGAACTCCTGACCTCGTGATCCACCTGCCTCGGCCTCCCAAAGTGCTGGGATTACAGGTGTGAGCCACCGTGCCCGGCGCAAGTATTCTTAAGTTTTATATTCCCAAACTATTTTCATCAGTTTATTCTTCATAATTCACATGTATTAGGTAAAATCATGTCTGTTGCGTGGGTAAATTTGGCAAATTTACACTCTATCCCCATCATCATTCTATCAAATTTAATTAATTTTTTTTTCTTTTGAGATGGAGTCTCTGTCCACTCCAGGCTGGAGTGCAGTGGCGTGATCTTGGCTCACTGCAACCTCCACTTCCTAGGTTCAAGCAATTCTCCTTCCTCAGCCTCCCAAGTAGGTGGGACTACAGGCGCGCACCACCATGCCTGGCTAATTTTTGTATTTTTAGTAGAGACGGGGTTTCACCATGTTGGCCAGGCTGGTCTCAACCTCCTGACCTCACGTGATCTGCTTACCTCAGCCTCCCAAAGTGCTGAGATTACAGGCATGAGCCACTGCCCCCGGCCCACTCTATCAAATTCTAGAGTTCTCTAAACCTGAGAAATCACAGAGCTGGTGTATCAACAAACATGTTCCAATCAGCTAGATTAGGGGCTGGCAAAAGCCTGACTGGTTTCCAGATTGGGCCGGCTGCCTTAGCCTGTGCACCCAACGTGGGCATCTGACTGCTGGCACACGGGTCTTTGAGCTTGCTCAAAACTCTTTTTATCTTTTTTTTTTTTTTTTTTTGAGACAGCGTCTCACTGTCTCCAGGCTGGAGTGCAATGGCGTGATCTTGGCTAATTTTTGTAGTTTTAGTAGAGACGGGGTTCCACCATGTTGGCCAGGATGGTCTCAATCTCTCGACCTCGTGATCCACTTGCCTCGGCTTTCCAAAGTGCTGGGATTACAGGTGTGAGCCACCGTGCCCGGCCCCCTTTTTATCTTTGAAGATAAAAAATAACTTCTTATTTTCTAATTCTGAGAATGATTTAAGTTCACTTTCTAACCTATCCGGGGCTGTTTTAATTATTTTTGAACTTCCAGGAATCTGCTTTCGAACCCAAATTTTATTAAGTGTAACTACTCGGACAGCCTGCCAATCATATCACAGGATATCCCAATTGGAAAGCTATTGGGAATGTACCTTCCTCCCCGAGTAGAAATCAAGTTATAAACGGCCAAAGTAGCCTATTCCAAAGGGCAGATTTTAATATTTCAAATTCACTTCCTTCCCACATAAGAAGAATGTGAAGAGGAGAAAATTATTCACATGCTCAAAGTTTTAGCAGGTTTGAGAAATGGTTTTGGGGTGATTATTTTAAATTATTGGCTATATTTGTTCTGCTTAAAATGTTTCAATCAAAGTGACTTGAAAGGCAGAGACAACTGCATTAAGATACAATTAAAAACTTATTTGTGACTCAGCCTATGTTAAATACTACAACTTGGAAAATAAAGCAGTTTTCTTACAGAAATATCATTCTTAAACTGGGATTGATAGTTAACTTTAACCCACGCATTTGAAGCTTATTTTTTTACATACTAAAGGGTATGTTGAAAAGAGCCAGTAATTTTAGGTAATTGATTTCTTCCTAAAATGACGAATTAGAATTTCATCTAATTTGTACAATCTGGACTCCAGAATTGGAATATAACGTAATTGCTAAACTTTTAGTTTGTAGCATATGGAAAACAAAAGTGCTGTGAACTGCAAATAAAGACACAATGAAAACTAATACAACATTCTATTGTCAGTCAAGAAAGCATATACAGTCCCCAAATAAACGATCAGGGCAAAGAATTAATTACTGTTACTCAGTCATGTACTTCCATTCACTTTTATCCCAGGGCAGGGTTGTTAACAAAAATTATTTAATAAGTGCATATAGAAACAATTTCCCTCCGCCTATTGATCTTATTTCCTTAAAAAACAAAAGAAAACAAACAAACAAAAAAACAGGTATTTTAAACCAAGGGTTACCAAGTAAATCCTGCTACCATCCGACTCAGGGAAAGAAATCTCTACTATCAGGTCAGTATTAGCACTGAAAAGCATTTAGTGTCTTGGCAGGAAAAGTTGACAAGAAAATCTCATCCACACATAGAAATGTGCACCACTGTGCAAGGAAGCACAATCCCCAGGCCACCCAGTGCAGGGCCAGCTCGAGAGGGGAATGCCCCCTGGGATCAGCTACCCCATGTCGGTCACCCCATTAACTGAGGGGCTCTGGTTCAAGGGTGTACTCAATTTAGGCTTGTGGATATCCAAGGGCACCTCAATTTTTACTGCTTTAAAACAGAATGGTGAATGGGAAGTGCCTATCTTTGGTTTGGACTTTCTGATTTTAACAAGAGTCCAGGTGTTCATTTTAATTTATCCATAAATGACTAAATTCTAATGATTCTATAGTTGGATGGCTGTAAAAATCAAATTTTAGTTTTCTGAACTTCCCAATCATACTCATCTATGATATCTCCTTCTCTAAAAATTATCATTAGGTAAATATTCACAATCTAAATTTAGTATTTCCCAGTACAGGAAGATATTGGTACCATCTACTGAATGCCCAGTTTTGATCTATTTCTAAATGGAGCAAACCAATTCCATCTCCTAGAGCTGGAGACTGTATCCAGGCAGTGTGTGGACAGAACGGACAATCTTTTCTGCCAAGGGCCTATTTGAGTGGAGCACCCCCACACGGGTTAGACGGGTCGGCACGGGGCTGGTGGGTGAGGAACTCAGGGGTCAGTGCAAGCTGCAGACCCTCATTTGGGGAACGCTCTCAGCACAATGCTCTTACAACTACAGGGTGCACTCCAAAATGGAGTTCAAGGAAAAAAGGCTAATGAGAAATAAAATCTGAAAAAATAACTTAAAAAGTTTGCTTTTTAAAAATTCCAGAAAGTGAGAGAAACATTCAAATTTTGTTGCTCTAAGAGGGAAGAATATGACTCGACGTTTAATTCCAGTACATTCCCTCTAGGATGACGGCCAAAGTAAAGGAAGAAGGGGCAGCAGCAGCTCCAGACTGGTTTTTTTTTTTTTTTTTTTTTTTTGGAGACGGAGTCTCACTCTGTCGCCCAGGCTGGAGTGCAGCGGCACGATCTCAGTTCACTGCAACCTCCGCCTCCCGGGTTCAAGCGATTCTCTGCCTCAGCCTCCCTAGAAGCTGGGATTGCAGGCATCTGCCACCACGCCCAGCTAATTTTTGTATCTTTAGTAGAGATGGGGTTTCACCATGTTGGCCAGATTGGTCTTGAACTCCTGACCTCATGATCCACCCGCCTCGGCCTCCCAAAGTGCTGGGATTACAGGCGTGAGCCACCGCGCCCGGCCCAGCTCTAGACTGTTTTAAAGGGCACCCTTTCCAGTTACTTTTTCCCTTTTAACACACGGTGGGAGTTCAAATCTCCAAAAGAGGTTTCCATGGGGTCAGTGGGACGAAAGCTCCTTGCCACCTCTAGTGAAACGCGGTCCTTGACACTAGCACGGCAGACCAGATGGAGTGGACACTGAGCTCTGACACGCAAGCCCAGGGAACCGGGGAAGGAACTTGTATGAACTTACAGCGCAAACCGTCAGCAGACTGGGAAGAGTTTTGAGGGTTACGGTAAATGTTCAAGAGGGCAATGGTCTGAAATACAAAACGCAACAACTTTATATTATGGAAAATTAAAGGTAAACACTTAACCGGCTGCCTCTGGCAAGTGCTTCAGTTGAGATTCAGTGCTGAAAAGAGAGCAAGTTATTTTCTGGAGAAGCAGAGGCGTTTTCTCAGTTGGCGGCTGCCTTGAATCCCTAACACTGCGGTGTAACGGAGGTCTCATGATATGCCCATCTTGTACTTCTGCTTACAGAACGTGAAAACTCTCCTTTTCAAAATTCCAATTCAGGTAAAAGCACAAATAGTTTGCCAGGCTAGCACCAAAATGTTCTTAGATGTGGCAGAAAATTTTTAATGAACTCGGAAAGAATAATGCTTACATAAACTGATGGAAAAAATTACTGTATTAGAGAAATACAATTGTTACATATCATGAAATCTCCACTTCCTGGAGGAAAAATTATAATGGTGAAATAAAACCCACACTTACTGGGCAACTTACCTTATTGATTCCTTAATATTCCTAAGAGTTTTAATTTTACACAAAGAACTTAATAAAGGCCAGGGGTTCAGTCACTGTAAAGACCAATGAATGGCTCAAAATGTTGAAATCCGTTTCACATGGACGGACCTGCTCTCATGACAAATGTCAATCAATGGAGGTGGCCGGGCCAGTGACCCTCCCTAGAAGGGATAAGCCTCCTGAACGTGGCCAAGTATCAAGTTCTTGCTGTGTGCGCCAAGGAGTTCCAGCACCTTGTCCTGTTTGCAACAGCTCTATGTCAGCAGCTCAGAAGCCAACATTATTTGTCTCAATTAAGAGTGGGCTCTTTAACACCATTGTTTTAAAAAAATTTCTCCAACTGTGGGACTTACAGTGTGAGCCGTCAGCCGTCTGTGCACTGTTTTGGGGATTACGATAGATGTTTTGAATCAAGATGGTCTGCGGGGAAAAAAAAATAAAAAGGGGAATTCTACTGGCTGCTGTGCATATATTAGACAATTGCAAAGAGACAATTTGTTTGCAAATGGCTAAACGTTTGTTTTTTTCCCGCAAGTCAGACATTTGTCTTCTGAAGAGTACACCAAAACCATCATATTATGAAAACAGAGTTTGAGCAGTGACTTGGGTCAAGTCAGCCAGCAACCAAGAAGAAACTGTATTGTTTTGATTAGTCCCACGTTTTCAATGTTAAAGTGTTTTAATGCAAGATAAATAGTAGAATACTAATATTTTCTTGTACTTCAAGCTAGCAGACACCAAGATGTGGAAAAATTCACGTTATAATCATATTCCTCACACAAGATAATTTTTCAAAACCAAATGCGTAACTCAGCTGTCTGCAGTACATCAAGTTCTCTGGTCTCCTAGCAAAACAGGCACACCAAACAGGTCTGTCAACTGTCATGGACACCCGGCTCTGATTTACACTTTCTTGGTGGGATCTCTGTTTACATAATACAATAGCTTAAAACATTTGCTCTTTTCCGATCCTTCTTTTAAGGAAAAAAAATCCTTTTAGCCCTTGTGCTTTAAACTGGATCAGGCAGACTTGAAACCTTACACTGTACCGTTCTTCTTAAAATCAAGTTGTCTGAAAAAACAAACCATGTTTAAGTTAGTAGGCTAATATATTACATGAATCTTAACGTCCATATCACTGTAAGCAGCTTATAAAGAAACCCACCCTGAATTATGCTAGAGATTTACAAGCTAAAGCAATCACTCGCATGATTTAGAAAAATAAATGTTTAGTCTCAACAATATCCACGTGAAGCAGTTTTGTAAGTGGTGGTTTTATAAAACCAGCCAGCTCCATTTCTAGCTCTGTTTAAAGGGGAGTGGTTGTATGAAGAGTTCCTCAGTCAAAGGTGTGCAGCTGGGAAGCCCACCCCACCTAAGAGGGAGGTCTGACAAACTGTCCACACTGAACCACTCAGACCTGCATCAGGGCCCCGTTTCTTCCATAAGCCGCCAAGTACAGCCCTGAGTCAACTGAACTCAGGCCTGGGAGGCTTCCCAAAGCTGACTTGACTCAGCTTTGAACTGAAATGACCGTACCATGACAACCCTGATGAAAAGCTAAACTGAGCCCAATTATTCAACAGTAAAATTCAGTTGGTCTCACTCAGGTATTCTGGCAGTGGCTATTTAATGAAGGAAGCTTAACGTAAAGAGGCAATGCAGTCTAATGGGAAAGCCAAGGGTGGCTAGGATTGCCTAAAACCAACCAAAACAAACCCACGCATCAAACTAGGATGCTTAAGCTGACACATACTACTGACCCCATCGAGCTCCAATGGGCTCTCCCCAGCACTGACCTGGAATGCCTAAATTAACTTCACATTTCACATTCTCAGGTAATCTATGATCCAGAAAAACATAAAGAAAGTGCCTCCAGCCAGATTAAAGAAAACTTTTAGAATAGGGAACAGTTGATTTCTCTCAGCCCAACACTTGGGACACCCCCCAAAATCAAAGAACTGGGTGGTCACTTAAGATGCTTGGTTATACCACAATCCATGGCCACTGGTTTAGTTAGGGGAGATTCGGTTCATAAATCAAAACATTAAAGAAAAAACAATTGCAATACACAGAAAATGTAAAGCTAGTTCTCCAAGATTTTGAAATTTGTAAAAAGAAACTCATGTTCAGAGCTATCAAAAGACAGACTGCTATTATACTAACCACTTGGTAATTAGCATAATGGAGGGAAAAGCCATCATCCTCTTCCCTTCTAAAAACACTGTGTGCTGTGGGGTCGTCCATGGGCTTCAACCGGAAAAAACCCATGTTTCCTTCTCCCAGCTCACTTACACAAAGTGGTAGATTTTCTTAAATGCTTACAGGAAAACGTATACAGACAGATGTGAGCTCAAAGGCAGAGCCTGGCAGCTCCCAGGGACCACGCATAATAGCTACTCAACAGCTCAGAGGCTGCACATTTAGACTTCAAGGGTGGGTTGGAAGGAGTTCCCCAGCCCTCCATCTGGAAAGACTTGGGCATCGATTTTCAAATTTCAAATGTTCTCATCAACGTGGGCACAAGTTTTCTGCTCCGATTAGAGGTGCCTTCTCCCTTTAATCCGTAAGTGATCCTTTATAGTGTACCAACCTTTGCCTTTTCTTCAACTAACCAAAAATAAAACTATCAAAACTCACAACTTTTGATTGAACTGAACTCAGAGCGGATCTAAGCCCAAGATAACAGGCACTCCTCAATTAACCAAACAGACCCGCTAAGAGCAATTTACGGCCCATTTTCTACCTTTCAGCTTAATTTTTCATGTTTCCATGACGTGATGCGACTCGCTGTTTCCTCAGCTAGGGATGTGAAAGTGAGGACGCAGCCAGAGAAGCTCGAGCAGCATGATGGGCCTGGTGACAATCACGCTAACTTGGAAGATGGCTCCATCACCTCTACTGTCTGGAGACAGCAAAGAGCAGAAAGCCCACTCCGTGTCCACTGGTGCCTGGAGGAGGCTAACCCAAGGCTGGCACGGCCACCCCCTCTGGACCCATGTCTATCAGAGGGGGTAGGGAAGATGGCAGGGCAGCAAATATCAGGCACAGCCAACACACAAACATCAAAAACTGATTTTTAAAGTTTCTCTAATGATAAAAACAAGGAGTGGTGGTCTCAGACCTTCCACTGGAAGTCGATCACCTGCCTCACTATTATTTAAATAAAAGAACACACTTATGAACACAAATGGAAAATACAACTACGAGAGAAAAAATGACTTGCTTAATATGTAGAAATTAACTGTCTTTGAAAAGAACATGAAGTTTTTATAATTTACATGAAAAAAAGGCAAACAAACCTGGCTAAACGTCGGTTTATTGTGCAACCGAGAGCACCTGTCTCCATGACGACATGCTCCAATTTTGAAATAAAATGAACAGTTGACTCTGTAAGGGAAAATGAGAGCTGATTATTTTGCTGGGAAGATATCAAACACATGGAATATGTCAGCAGCATGACATACACTATCAAATTACTTTTAACCTCACAGAAACATGACACAGACTTTTTTCCGTGGTATTAAGCACCTCCTCTTCCTTGCTGTATTTTAGGACAACGTAACTTCAACTTCCCTTTCTGCAAACACACTACTTGTTCAGCAAAGACGGTTCTAACTCTAACCCGCCTCCTCCTCATTCAAATCCCCTCCACTTTCCTAACTGCACAGCTGTTCTGTTTGTTTCTTAAATGGAGTATTAAATTAGTCTAAAACTAAATGTAACTTAGGCAGTATCTGTTCTCCAGTTCTCCACGACCAAGTTCTCTCTTGAAAAGACCGGTGTGGTGAGGGTTAAGATCCCAACTCTGCTACCAGCTGCTTGGGCTTGGGCAAGTCACCCTAGCTCTCAGATGTCATCTGTAAATGATGACAATGCCAATGTGGCACTGTTCTGAGAGTCAGACAGAACGTATGTGTGCTTCACATATGGTGCTCATGAAGTGCTATCATTATCTAAGGAAAACAGAAAACGAAGTTCAGAGTCTCTCTAAACGCATGACACCAGACCAACAGGGAGTTTCAAAAAATAGGTCTGAAGTAAATCAATTCTCCTGGTCTCAATACACTGAAAACAAACTATTAGGGGACTGACCAAACCCACCTTAGGAACCACCTTACGTCACCTTCTGTCTCTACTGCAAAACCCTCCCTTAATACTGTTCAAATACGCTGACAATCCAGATCCATATCCAATGGAACCAGCAATCATGCCTGTGTGCCAGCAATGTCAGGGAGGGAAGCCGATCTCTGATGAATTAGGACATCTTACCAGACAGACTTTGTTCAAAATTCAATTTTTTTTTAACCAAGTGCCATTATGTTTTAAACAGTCAATCCAGAGTTAAGATTGAAGGGCCTCAACCTCAGTGAAATCTGATGGACCATGAAGACTGACTAGCCACTGATTTATTATCAGGTAGCAATAAAGATGGGAAAGTCCAAATTTATCAGGAGAGGAAAGTGATTATATATATTTGCAAACTTACAGGTCTTGAGATTATTTAACTTGATTAGACAATAGCATATCTTTAGGAAGTCATCTAAAAATAAAGAAAGCTTATTTAAAAACTACCTCAGAATGGGCAAGCCCTGGGCCTCAACAATTAATATCCAATTATTCCACACAATTAAACTACAGACAAGCTATTAGGATATCCCTGAATCTAGAAAACATCTATAACTTCAAACATATAATAAGCTAAACATTTTTTAATTGGTAGAGATCTATATTTTATTCTTAGCTTAAATAATAATTAAAGTTAATATGAACCATCAGCTTCATTTTTCAGGAGTTGATCCTGTTCCCTGGAAGCTAAAACCCCACGTCTCCCTGAAAAGAAAACACAAGTAACCTAGATTAAATAATCAACTTTTCTGAATTAAAACCATGACCTTTATAGTATAGCCCAATAGATTGAAATGTGGTTGCTTATAGCAGAAATATAGGGAGATAGACTTTTACAAGACAGAAGTCATGCCACATGCAAATATGAAAAGGAGAAATTAATGATGCCCCGATCCTACATGTGTTAGTTCTTCACCCTAAACTCAGAAGAGTCTCTTGTTCCGATAGAGCTGGTCTATTCATTCGCCAAGATCATACCGTGAGTTCCTTAAGGATAATATCCAAATTTTACCCATGTTTAAGTCTCCAGAAACTGACCTATAGTTGACCCCCACTAAATGTTTCTGGAGTGACTATAACTGGTAGATTTTGGCTTAAAATTTTGCTAGAAATATAGCCTCCTCATCCAAACAACACAGGAGATTCTACCATGTGTGAAGAGGACATTTTACAAGATAGACTCCATCCTGGAAAAGAGAAACATTTTAAATAGCGTTTGAAAAAAGTGGCATTAAAAACATCTATGACAAACTTAGGGGTTTATCATTGAAAACATAAAGTCATGTTAACTTTGTATGGCACTGAAGAATGCCAAGATAACTAAAGAGTAGATTAAGCCAGATGCTGAGTCTTTAGGTTTTCAAAGTAAGAATTATCCTTCAAACGTCTGAAAACATTCCATTTAGTCTAAACTACAGCCAACTCACTGGAAATTAGTACGTGCCAAGGTGGCAATTAAAGCTGAAATTAAATGTTTTGCTTTTAACCTAACGATTGATTAGGGAAGGCATGCAACCTTAAGGAAAAAATCAAAACATCTTTTTCCTTATATCAGAATTGTGTCTTCAAGAACAGTCACCGACTTACAAATTTTCAACTTAGATGATGGGTTTATCGGGGTATTAAAGGCATTTTCGATTCATGATGGGTTTATCGGAACGCAATCCCATGGTAAATCCAGGAGCACCTGTATGTTAAGAGCGGATCACGTCTCTTGTGGTTAGATAGTTAATCCAGTAGTCTCCACCATACTTTTTCTCGTCATATCTCCTTACTGCCGGCCCAGCGGTCGCTTAAACAGGCAAGAGGCTGGCTAAGTGGATAAAACACCAACGCTTAGGACCCTAAGTTAGATAAGCGACTGAATACTGGCGAGGCTGGTACCAGAGCTTGCTCGACAGGACATTCACAGCCGAAAGTTGGAACAAACGTGTCCACGTCCAAAAGGCCCGGATGCTCCAGGCAACTTTCAGCGCGGCTCGAGGCGGCTTCCGGGAGCCGGCGACTCGGAGGCCCGGACGTCGGGCGATCAGCCAGTTCGGACCCCAAGGCCGGAGAAAGCTCGGCCGCGGCGCCCCGAAAAGAGACCCCATTCATTCTCCCCGCTCCATTTTTCCGCCGCGCGGCCCACGAGGCGGCGGCTCCGGAGGGCGCGCAAGGGGCCGGAAGGGCCACCGCTCCTTCCCGCCGCGCGCCCCTCCCCCGCCACCGCCGCGCCGGCCCGCCTGGGCCTCCCCGGTCGCCCTCCCACCGCCTCAACCACCCTGCGCCCCGATCGCGCCCAACCCCCGGCGGGGGGCTCCCACTCACTTGTCTTTCTCGGTGCCGAAGATGGAGGCCAGATACTCCGCCATTTCCCACCCGCCGCCGCCGCTGCCGTCGACACTGCTGCCGACGCCGCCGACCCTGCCGACGCCCGCGGGAGACGTCACCCGGACGCGACGACGCTCTTCCCCGCCCCGACGTGGCAGCGCTACCCAGTCAGGCGAGGTGCTGCCTGCGCGTGGGCGGGACGCATGCGCGTAGGGAGCACGTAGTGCGCGTGGGAGGCTCCGCCTTTTCGGTCCTGGGAACCCGCGCCCCCTGCCGGTGCCCTCCCCGCCCGGCCCTAGCTCTCTCGCCTTCTCGCCCGCCCGGCGCTGGCCCTGCTGGATCCTGCGCGCCGGGGACTGGGGGCTGGCAGTGCAGACCGAACCCGGGGCCGAGGGGCTTCTCCACAGAGCCGCCTGGGGCTCGGTGGGGGGCGCTCAGCTCGACCCCAGCTAAGGGAGCACTAGGAAGTGCGGGCGTCCCCTTCCCTGCACCCTTGCGGGGCGGGAACCGTCGACCTAGAAGAAAAAAAAAGCTGAGGCAAACTTGATATAAGTAGAGAGGTTATTTGGGCCAAGTTTGAAGATTGCAACCCGGGAGCATAGCTTCAAGTTGCCCTGAACATAGGATTTGCAACAGTGACAAGTGGGTTTATAAAGCTTAAGAGGGGGGCAGTTCTTAAATAGCTCACCAAGAATTTACATGAAAATAACAAGCTATTAATTGGCTGTACGTTGTTCTTTATATCATAATTCCAGGAAAGGAAGTTCATGGGTGAAGGCAGCGGGTCCGGAGCAATAGTGCCTTTAAACAATTGCCAGGCATGGGTGGGGACCGCTGAAGCCGCATAGACCTGTCTCTCCGGGCCGGATTAACCTCGCACGCCTCACATAGCTCGGACGCTCTGTGTTGTTTTTCTCTTCTCACACCCCTCTCCGCTTTACCCTCCCTCAGCGCTTGCCAGGTGCGACCTCCCCGGGGCCCTGCACTCTTGCAGTTGCCTGGCCAAGGCCACCCACAGGTGGAGCTGGAAGGCCAGTGACCTGCCTCTGGGATACCCTTTCAGTCTCCTCATGTCACAAGGCTGGAACCATTCCGTTGGAAGGGTTCTATTCCTCTCCTGCGTTTTAACCCCATCAAGCAGCCATTTTCATCTGGTTTCCCACATTCATCAACTCACCTGCGATTTACCTAATTTCCAACGCAACTATCAACTCTGATTAGGTAGAAGTCAGAGAGACAGGGCCTATTTTACTTACCTCCTCCACAAGATGAGCCCCAGACTGTGGGGCAGGACCATGGGATCCTCTTAGCTCGGCTAGAGCTGAATGCTGAGCTCTAGTGTTTGGGCGGATTTGCGTGTTAGAATTGCATTTCTCTTGGCAACAGAGCATCTTCCTACCTGGGAAAGATGAGCAAACTGGAAACCTGTATTAGAAACAGTAGGGCCTCAGAGGTTTAAACCAAAAAGTATCTTGAGACAGGGCTCAATCAATTTAGAAGTTTATTTTGCCAAGGTTAAGGACAATGCCTGGGAGGAAAAAAAACACGGTATCACAGAAACAGTCTGTGGTCTGTGCCTTTCTCCAAAGATGACTTTGAGGGCTTCAGTATTTAAAGGGGAAAAGTGGGCTGGAGGGGAAAGCGGAACAGTGTGGTAATCCACACGTTGCAAGAGAAAAGAAGCAGGTTGGGAACAGTCGACTGTGTACAGCTCACTCCTCAGCAAATCAGCACTTTACATAAGAGAAGCGGATGTTGAACCTTCTATCTGTAGCCGTCTGCTTAGGAACGAAAGGAAAGGCAGCTGCTTACATGACTCAGCTTTCAGCTCATTCTTTTCCTTTTGACAGAGTGAACTGGGGTCCTGACTTTTGTGTTCCTTTCGCAGAGGTGAGGCCAGAGAAGTGACAAGACAGATGCCAGTCCAGCAGGTGGGCATGTCCAGAAAGTGCAGCCTCAGGACACGGTCTGGGAACAAAGACTGCTGGAGAGTTGGAAGCTGGCAAGAGGCTCTCAGCTGTGAAGTACCTGGGGTGGGGGAGAAGTGGTCGGAGAAAGCAGAGGTAAGGTCTGTGCGTGGGAACTGAACTGAAATCCACAGCTCTATTACAAGGAATTAATCTGGTTACTAGAACCAGGGTAGATGATCAGACCAGGCAGGGCCACCAGTACCATCCACCCATTTTTCCTGAGAAAAGAAAAATAGGGTAGTCTGAGCTCTGTGAGGTGTGCAGAATGATCAGGCCCAGAGAGGCAGGAGTGTGGGACTTCATTCAGCGCCTCTTCCACCATAGAAGCAACTGTCCAGGGCAATTGTTTGATGGAATTTTTGCTCCTGACAGGCTGCCTCACCCATTATCTTCTTGTTCACATGGAATTAGTGATGCTAAGAACGATGCATAGCCAATCAGCACCTTCTGTTATTTTAATGCAAATTCTTGCTAACAACTTAGGGACTGCCTCTTCCTTTTCCTTAAAACCCCACTGTGACTGCTGCTAATGGGAACATATGTTCAGGGCAACCTAGGGGCATGTGCCCAGGGAGCCATCCTCAAGCTTTGGGCTCAAATAAACTCTATACTTAATCATATTTCCTGAATTTCATTATTTGAGGTTGACATTTTGGCAACCCAGATAGGACCTGAAGCAGGCCTTCAGGGATTGCCACTAAGTAGTGGCATCAATAGTTGGAGCCTTGGTACCAGCACAAACGACTGTTGTTTACTCGACCTCACTGGGGCTGGCAGGGGTCTCTGGTAAGGCCAGTCTTGGGATCTGAATCCTCCCAGCTTAGTTGAAGATTGAGACTTACACACTAATAATTTGATAGGGTTAGAACTGAAGCTCCACTGAAAGGTAGGAGTTTCCATTTTTATTCTCTAGAGATTCTGTTGACTGCAGATTTGTGATTTTCACTTCTGTCTGAGGTTTTGCTTGTCTTTTTACAGTTTGCAGCCTTTTCTCTCATTCGAAATTTGGTCAAGGAGAAAGTGTCATCTTTAAAACTGGCCATATTCTGAAACTTGGTTCAACTGACAAATCTAAACATTCTTCTTCTTCTTCTTTTTTTTTTTTTTTTTTTTTTTTTGAGACAGAGTCTCGCTCTGTCGCCCAGGCTGGAGTGCAGTGGCATGATCTCGGCTCACTGCAACCTCTGCCTCCTCAGTTCAGGCAGTTCTCTGCCTCAGCCTTCTAAGTAGCTGGGATTAGAGGCGCCTGCCACCATGCCCTGCTAATTTTTTGTATTTTTAGTAGAGTTGGGGTTTCACCATCTTGGCCAAGCTGATCTTGAACTCCTGACCTCGTGATCCCCCTGCCTCGGCCTTCCAAAGTGCTGGGATTACAGGCGTGAGTCACCGCGCTTGGCCATTTTCTTCTTTAGTGACCAAAATTCCTCCCCTTAGGCATTTTTGGTCATTCAGAAGGAAAATCTAAATTATGGACACTTGTGCTTCTAGAGCAGACATGCATCTGCAGAGACGGCAGCTGGATTCGTGGACAATGCTTATGGTGCCACCTTCTGTCAGTATCTAGAAACATGGTCTCACTTAACCCGTGAAGACCCCAGACTATAATAGCTAAAATGGGGCGCCTTTAAAGTAACTAGTTTATGCACTCAATAGGAAAAATCTGCATCTAAAATTTAAAAACTGAGAGAGCTATTTTTCAATGATACTTAGAAGCTTCTAAAAGAAGTTCTGATGAAGTCATTTCTTTGCAAGAAGAAAACAGAAGATTATCTGAAACTATTTCTTTTGTTTGTTTGTTTTGAGACAGAGTCTTGCTCTGTTACCCAGGCTGGAGTGCATTGGCGTGATCTTGGCTCACTGCAACCTCTGCCTCCCAGGTTCAAACGATTCTTCTGAGCTGGGATTACAGGCATCCCCCACCTTGCCTCGCAATTTTTTTTTTTTTTTTTTTGAGACAGAGTTTCATTCTTGTTGCCCAGGCTAGAGTGCAGTGGCACGATCTCAGCTTGTTGCAACCTCCCCCTCCCGGGTTCAAGCGATTCTTCTGCCTCAGCCTCCCAGTAGCTGGGATTACAGACACCCACCACCATGCCTGGCTAATGTTTTGTGTTTTTAGTAGAGACAGGGTTTCACCATGTAGGCCAGGCTGGTCTCGAACTTCTGATCTCAGGTGATCCACCAGCCTTGGCCTCCCAAAGTGCTGGGATTACAGGTGTGAGCCACCACGCCCAGCCATCCACAGTTCTTTTTAAAATTTAGAAGTAGTTTCAGGCTGGGTGAGGTGGCTCACACCTGTAATCCCAGCACTTTGGGAGGCCAAGGTGGGTGGATCACGAGGTCAGGAGTTCAAGACCAGCCTGGCCAAGATGGTGAAACCTCATCTCTATTAAAAATACAAAAATTAGCCGGGCATGGTGGCGGGCGCCTGTAATCCCAGCTACTTGGGAGGCTGAGGCAGAGAATCACATGAAACCCAGGAAGCGGAGGTTGCAGTGAGCCAAGATGGCGCCACTGTACTCCAGCCTGGGTGACAGAGTGAGACTCTGTCTCAAAACAAAAACAAAAACAAACAAACAAAAAGACCATGGAGGCTTTCTCCTGTTTGTTTCCAGCTGCTGCTTCTCCTTCTGCCTCTGGGATGATCTAAACTCATCTCTTTCTGCCTGTTCCCTCAGCTCCCATACATCTCTTAAGCAGTGTTTTTGGAATTCCACAATGCACACATTTCCTTCTCTCAAAAAGGGGAAAGTATATTTAAATTTGGAACAGACTGGGTGCGGTGGCTCACACCTGTAATCCCAGCACTTTGGGAGGCCAAATTGGGCAGATCACCTGAGGTCAGGAGTTCGAGACCAGCCTGGCCAACAGGGTGAAAACCCGTCTCTACTAAAAATAAAAAAAGATTAGCGGGGAGTGGCTGCGGGCTCCTGTAATCCCAGCTACTTGGGAGACTGAGGCAGGAGAATCACTTGAATCCGGGAGGCAGAGGTCGCAGTGAGCCGAGACGGCGCTATCGCACTCCAGCCTGGGCGACAAGAAGGAAACTGCGTCTCAAAAAAACCCAAAACAACAACAACAACAAAAATAAAAAATAAAAAATAAAAGAAATAGGCCAGAAAAGAAATGTTAGCTCAAGCCTGTAATCCCAACACTTTGGGAGGCCAAGGCTGGTGGATCACATGAGGTCAGGAGTTCAAGACCAGTCTGGCCAACATGGTGAAACCCCATCTCTACTAAAAACACATGTGGTGGCATGTACCTGTATTCCCAGCTACTCGGGAGGCTGAGGCAGGAGAATCGCTTGAACCCAGTAGGTGGAGGTTGCAGTAAGCTGAGATGGTGCCACTGCACTCCAGCCTGGGCGACAGAGCGAGATGCTGCCAAAAAGAAAAAGAAAAAGAGAAAGGAAGGGAGGGAAGGAGGGAGGGAAATTAAAAAAATAAAATGCTAACATCCAGGGAATTAGTTCAGCTGAGATCAGATCTGAAACAAGTCAAAACCCTTTAAATGCTCAAACTGCCTGCTCTGGAGCCCCTGCAGGGTTTGTCAGTGCTCCAGCCTGTGGGCCAGAGGCTATGAGTCTCTACAAACATGAGGCTATGTTTGCAGCCTGGGTTCAATTTCCAGTCCTGTTTTTTTTTTTTTTTTTTGAGACGGAGTCTTGCTGTGTTGCCCATGCTGGAGTGCAGTGGCATGATCTCGGCTCAGTGCAGCCTCCGCCTTCCAGGTTCCAGCAGTTCTCCTGCCTCAGCCTCCCGAGTAGCTGGGATTATAGGTGCCCACCACCACGCCCAGCTAATTTTTTGTATTTTTAGTACAGACAGGGTTTCACCATGTTGGCCAGGCTGGTCTTGAACTCCTGACCTCAGGTGATCTGCCTGCCTCGGCCTCCCAAAGTGCTGGGATTACAGGTGTGAGCCACCGCGCCTGGCCTTCTTTTTTTTTTTTTTTTTTTTTTGAGATGGAGTTTCGCTCTCGTCACCCAGGCTGGAGTGCAATGGCATGGTCTAAGCTCACTGCAACCTCCACCTCTCAGGTTCAGTCAATTCTTCTGCCTCAGCCTCCCAAGTAGGTGGGATTACAGGTGCTCACCACCACGCCTGGCTAATTTTTGTGTTTTTAGTAGAGATGGGGTTTCACCATGTTGGCCAGGCTGGTCTCGAACTCCTGACGTCAAGTGATCCACCCACCTCAGCTTCCCAAAGTGCTGGGATTACAGGTGTGAGCAGCAAGATTTCTTTTTCTGAGCTGTCTTTAGAGTGGTTCTGACGCTTAGGAAGACTGCTTTGCATTTCTTTGGAGATGCTTGGTTCAGCCTTGGTTAAGTCATGACCTTCGTTATGCCATTACCTTGGTTAAATCTTTGTTTTTGAGATGGAGTCTCGCTGTGTCACCCAAGCTGGAGTGCAGTGGTGCGATCTTGGCTCACTGCAACCTCTGTCTCCTGGGTTGAAGCAATTCTCCTGCCTTAGCCTCCCGAGTAGCTGGGATGACAGGTGCATGCCACCACACCTGGCTAATTTACCTTGGTTAAGTCTCACTGGTTTTGTGAGTAACTTGAAAATGTCCATTTCGTTTTTTTTTTTGAGATGGAGTTTCGCTCTCATTGCCCAGGCTGGAGTGTAAGGGATGGCCTGATCTCGGCTCACTGCAACTTCGGCCTGCCAGGTTCAAGCGGTCCTCCTGCCTCAGCCTCCCAAGTAGCTGGGATTACATGCATGCACCACCACACCTGGCTAATTTTGTATTTTTAGTAGAGACAAAGTTTCACCATGTTGGCCAGGCTGGTCTTGAACTCCTGATCTCAGGTGATCCACCCACCTTGGCCTCCCAAAGTGCTGGGATTACAGACATGAGCCACCGCACCCGGCCAAGTTTTTTCTTTTTTTATATGTAATAAGTTGGATAAAGTGTTTATAAAAAGTTAAAAGTAGGCCCTCAAGCAGGTAAAGTAGGCTTGCTTCTTTTCAGAGCTATCCATGCTGATTCCAGGCATAGAGAATGCCTCCTTTGCCCTATTCATTAAAGGGCTTCACCCTGAAGTCAGTAATCTAATAGAGAAACAAGCTAAGTTGAAAAGACCCTGTGATGGTTAATATTAGCTGTCAACCTGATTGGATTGAAGGATGGTAAAGTATTGTTCTTGGGTGTGTTGTGAGGGTGTTGCCAGAGGAAATTGACATTGGAGTCAGTGGACTGAGAGAGGAAGACCCACCCTCAGTGTGGGTGGGCACCATCCGATTGGCTGACAGTGTGGCTGGAACAAAGCAGGTGGAGGAGGGTGGGAGAAGCTGGCTTGCTGAGTCTTCTGGCTTTTGTAGCCACCCAGTGAGTTCACCTAGCCGGCTGCCTAGATGGAGCGGATTTATCAGGACAGGGGAATTGCAATGCAGAACGAGTAATTTACACAGAGCTAGCTGTGCGGGCGACTGGAGTTTTATTATTACTCAAATTAGACATCCCAAGAATTTGCAGATCAGAGTTTTTAAAGATAATTTGGCGGCTCAGGAAGTAGGAGTGCTGATTGATCTGGCTGGAGATGGAATCACAGGGAGGTCAAAGTGAGGTTTCCTTGCTGTCTTCTGTTCCTGGGTACAATGGCAGAACTGGCTGAGCCAGATAGCCGGTCTGTGTGGTATCAGCTGATCCATAGAGTACAGGGTCTTGCAGAATAAATACCTCAAGCACTGATCTTCGGATTACAATGGTGATGTTATCCCCAGGAGCAATTTCGGGAGGTTTGGACAGCCAGAGGCTGGATGACCTTTAAATCAAAATTTCTTTTTTTTTTTTTCAAAGAAGCCCCATTTTATTACAGAGAGCATACAAAGCCGTTTCCTCATAAGGAAAAGTACAGCTTCCCTTCTCCAGGGTGACAGATGAGCCTTTTCTGAAGTTCTCAGCTTTCTCTTCTATCGATATTTCCCATGTCAGTTAAAGTGTTTGTAGAGACAGCTGATGCGTTTATTGAGGTTGTGCAGCTCATCAGCAAACATTCTGTTTCCAACCATTTTCTTCTTTAGCATACAGCGTTGCAATTCATTCCCCTTCCAATCTCGAAGCCATATGGGGTCCCTGATCAGCTTTTGGGGTGCTTTTCAAAGTTTCCCAGGATCCTGATGTTGTCATACACTCTGAACATGGCCATCCTTTCGTTCCAAGGATCAACTACTTTGGGGGGTAGGAGCCTTATACCAATCAATCTAGGAATACCAAGAAAGAAGCTTCTGCATGCCACACCTAGTCCCACAGGCGCCTACCTGCCCTACATAAGAGGCTCCCTGCCATTTCTCTAGTCTGCCCCTTCAACAGCACACCAAATAAGCCCAAGAATGAGGACCAGATGTGGCCTTCAAGAAGACAACAGGAACCGTCCCTGTCGACTTCACACGGGTACTAACGTGAAGGCAGCCACCTTGGGCCTTAAAATTTCTAATCTTGTAGCTAATTTGTTACTCCTACAAAGGCAGACTGGTTCCTAGGCAAGAAGGGGATCTTTCTGGGAAATGGCTATTATCAATTTTGTTTCAGAGTCAAACTATAAGCTAAATTCCTTCCCAAGGTTAGTTGGCCTGTGCCCAGGCATGAACAAAGACAGCCTAAAGGTTAGAAGCAAGATGGAGTCAGGTAGGTCTGATCTCTTTCACTGTCATCATTTCCTCAGTTGTAATTTTTGCAGAGGCAGTTTCACTTTCATCTTTCTCCTGTGCTGGATGCCTCCTCCGTTCCCCCTGCCCTTGGACATCAGACTCCAGGTTCTTTGGCCTTTGGACTCTTGGACTTAAGCCAGTGGTTTGCTTGGGACTCTCGGGCCTTCAGCCACAGATTGAAGCCTGCACTGTTGGCTTCCCTACTTTTGAGGCTTTTGGACTCCGACTGAGCCACTCCTGGCTTCCTTCTTCTGCAGCTTGCAGACGGTGTATCATGGGACTTCACCCTGTGATGGTGTGAACTAGTTCTCCCTAATATACTCCCTTTCATATATATGTCTATTCTGTTAGTTCTGCCCCTCTGGAGAACCCTAACTAATGCAGACCCTTGTGTAACTTTGATATCCAAAATATGGCTTTCTAGCATTTAGCTGGCTATTTTGAAACTCTTTGTAAAAAAAATTTATATATATGAAGGAAATCTCCATTTGTAAGGGTGTCTCCCTCCCTGCACCCAAACTGCTAGAAACTGAAGATGGGGAAGACATTGGCTGAAGACACTGTCTTACAGTTTACATCACAGACCTTGCCTTCGGTGGAAATACTTTTCCTGGCAACCTCGTCTTCACTAGGTGTAGGGACCAGCCCCACAGGATCGGTGGGTTTTTCTCCCCATGTGCAGAGACGAGAGATTGTAGAAATAAAGACACAAGACAAAGAGATAAAAGGAAAGACAGGTGGGCCTGGGGGACCACTAACACCAAGATGCGGAGACCGGTAATGGCCCCGAATGTCTGGCTGCGTTGTTATTTATTGGATACAAAGCAAAAGGGGCAGGGTAAAGAGTGTGAGTCATCTCCAATGATAGGTAGGGTCACGTGGGTCACGTGTCCACTGGACAGGGGGCCCTTCCCTGCCTGGCAGCCAAGGCAGAGAGGGGGAGAGAGAGAGACAGCTTGCGCCATTATTTCTGCATATCAGAGACTTTTAGTACTTTCACTAATTTGCTACTGCTATCTAGAAGGCAGAGCCAGGTGTACAGGATGGAACACGAAGGCGGACTAGGAGTGTGACCACTGAAGCACAGCGTCACAGGGAGATGGTATGCCTTCGGATAACTGAAGGTGGGCCTGAGGCCCTCCACAAGAGATGGAGGAGTAGAGTCTTCTCTGAACTCCCGTGGGGAAAGGGAGACTCCCTTTCCCGGTCTGCTAAGTAGCCGGTGTTTTTCCTTGACACTGACGCTACTGCTAGACCATGGTCCGCTTGACAACAGGCGTCTTCCCAGACGCTGGCGTTACCGCTAGACCAAGGAGCCCTCTGGTGGCCCTGTCCGGGCATAACAGAAGGCTCGCATGCTTGTCTTCTGGTCACTTCTCACTATGTCCCCTCAGCTCCTGTGTCTGTATGGCCTGGTTTTTCCTAGGTTATGATTGTAGAGCGAGGATTATTGTAATATTGGAATAAAGAGTAATTGCTACAAACTAATGATTAATGATTTTCATATATAATCATGTCTATGATCTAGATCTAGTATAACTCTTGTTGTTTTATATATTTTATTATACTGGAAAAGCTCGTGCCCTCGGTCTCTTGCCTCGGCACGTAGGTGGTTTGCCGCCCACAACTAGGCTTTTACCTACACCCTTCTTCCTTGGTTTGAATTCAGCTCTGTGCTTTTGAGATGTGAATTTTTTCTACTTTGTTTCACCTCAGTCATCCCTTTAGAAGTGCCAATTTAGTGTTGCCTAGCTAACAGTTGCTTAGGGATCATGTAAAAGGGGGAAATAAAAACTATTTGAGAGCATAATCAGGTTAAGTATTAATGCTAAAACTTACTTTACAAGTTAGTTGGTCTTGCTAAGATTTCTCTTTGGTAGAAATGGGGAATTGGAGAGAAGATTCTTTATAAAAACTATAAGATCTGCTTCTGTCTGTATGTCTATATGTTTATATGTGTCATGTGTATGTGATATTTCACTACCAAAATATATGAAAAAGCTATAATTAATTGGCTTAAAGAAGGGACTGCTTGGCTGGGTGCAGTGGCTCACACCTGTAATCCCAGCACTTTGGGAGGCGAAGGTGGGTGGATCATGAGGTCAGGAGATCGAGATCATCCTGGCTAACATGGCGAAACCCCATCTCTACTAAAAATACAAAGAAAAATTAGCCAGGCGTGGTGGCAGGCGCCTGTAGTCCCAGCTACTCAGGAGACTGAGGCAGGAGAATGGCATGAACCTGGGAGGCGGAGCTTGCAGTGAGCCAAGATCGCGCTACTGCACTCCAGCCTGGGTGACAGAGGGAGACTGAGTCTAAAAAAAAAAGCACAGTGATGCTAGGCCAGAGTCTGGGCCCCTGTGTCTGAACAGTAGGTTTTCTTGGAGTATTGGTGTGCTCTTTAATAGAAAATTGTAAGAGTTGGGCCGGGCATGGTTGTTCATCCTTGTAATTCTAGCACTTTGAGGCCATGAGATTGAGACCAGCCTGGGTAGGATAGTGAGACCCTATCACTGTTATTTTAAAAATTAGGAAAAAGAAAATTGTAAGAGTTTATAAAAGGTTTTTGGGAATCTTACTTTGTATGGTCAAAGCTGCCTGAGAATGGACGATTGATAATACACTAATATAAAAGTTAAATCTTGTTTTCTCTGTTGAATAAGAATTTCATGTTGTGTTAAGAAGAGATAGTAAGCTGGGTGTGGTGGCTTATGCCTGTAATCCCAGCACACTGGGAGGCCAAGGTGGGTGGATCACTTGAGGTCAGCAGTTCAAGACCAGCATGACCAACATGGTGAAACCCTGTCTCTACTAAAAATACAAAAATTAGCCAGGTGTGGTGGTATATGCCTGTAATCTCAGCTACTTGGGAGGCTGAGGCAGGAAAATCGCTTGAACTCGGGAGGTGGAGGTTGCAGTGAGCTGAAATTGTGCCACTGCACTCCAATCTGGGCAACAGAGCGAGACTCTATCTAAAAAAAAAAAAGTAAAAGATTTGTTTACCTTTTGAATAAACTGCAAAAAAAGGGGGCTGGGAGAATTTGCCTCATGCTATCTTTATTATGTCTCTTGATTGGGAACTGAGTCTCTGCTCTATTTTAGAGTAAAAGAGTTGCTCTTTGAAATCTTTATTTATTTTTTTTATTATACTTTAAGTTCTAGGGTACATGTGCACAATGTGCAGATTTGTTACATATGTATACATGTGCCATGTTGGTGTGCTGCACCCATTAACTCGTCATTTACATTAGGTATATCTCCTAATGCTATCCCTCCCCACTCCCCTCACCCCACAACAGGCCCCGGTGTGTGATGTTCCCCTTCCTGTGTCCAAGTGTTCTCATTGTTCAATTCCCCCCTATGAGTGAGAACATGCGGTGTTTGGTTTTTTGTCCTTGCGATAGTTTGCTGAGAATGATGGTTTCCAGCTTCATCCATGTCCCTACAAAGGACATGAACTCATCCTTTTTTATGGCTGCATAGTATTCCATGGTATATATGTGCCACATTTTCTTAATCCAGTCTATCATTGATTGACATTTAGACACAAGTCTTTGCTATTGTGAATAGTGCCGCAATAAACATGCGTGTGCATGTGTCTTTATAGCAGCCTGATTTATAATCCTTTGGGTATATACCCAGTAATGAGATGGCTGGGTCAAATGGTATTTCTAGTTCTAGATCCTTGAGGAATCACCACACTGACTTCTACAATGGTTGAACTAGTTTACAGTTCCACCAACAGTGTAAAAGTGTTCCTATTTCTCCACATCCTCTCCAGCACCTGTTGTTTCCTGACTTTTTAATGATCGCCATTCTAACTGGTGTGAGATGGTATCTCATTATGGTTTTGATTTGCATTTCTCTGATGGCCAGTGATGATAAGCATTTTTTCATGTGTCTGTTGGCTGCATAAATGTCTTCTTTTGAGAAGTGTCTGTTCATATCCTTTGCCCACTTTTTGATGGGGTTGTTTGTTTTTTTCTTGTAAGTTTGTTTGAGTTCTTTGTAGATTCTGGATATTAGCCCTTTGTCAGATGAGTAGATTGCAAAAATTTTCTCCCATTCTGTAGGTTGCCTGTTCACTCTGATGGTAGTCTCTTTTGCTGTGCAGAAGCTCTTTAGTTTAATTAGATCCCATTTGTCAATTTTGGCTTTTGTTGCCATTGCTTTTGGTGTTTTAGACATGAAGTCCTTGCCCATGCCTATGTCCTGAATGGTATTGCCTAGGTTTTCTTCTAGGGTTTTTATGGTTTTAGGTCTAACATTTAAGTCTTTAATCCATCTCGAATTAATTTTTGTATAAGGTGTAAGGAAGGGATCCAGTTTCAGCTTTCTACATATGGCTAGCCAGTTTTCCCAGCACCATTTATTAAATAGGGAATCCTTTCCCCATTTCTTGTTTTTGTCAGGTTTGTCAAAGATCAGATGGTTGTAGATGTGTGGTATTGTTTCTGAGGGCTCTGTTCTATTCCATTTGTCTATATCTCTGTTTTGGTACCAGTACCATGCTGTTTTGGTTACTGTAGCCTTGTAGTATAGTTTGAAGTCAGGTAGTGTGATGCCTCCAGCTTTGTTCTTTTGGCTTAGGATTGTCTTGGCAATGTGGGTTCTTTTTTGGTTCCATATAAACTTTAAAGTAGTTTTTTCCAATTCTGTGAAGAAAGTCATTGGTAGCTTGATGGGGATGGCATTGAATCTATAAATTACCTTGGGCAGTATGGCCATTTTCACGATATTGATTCTTCCTATGCATGAGCATGGAATGTTCTTCCATTTGTTTGTGTCCTCTTTTATTTCTTTGAGCAGTGGTTTGTAGTTCTCCTTGAAGAGGTCCTTCACATCTCTTGTAAGTTGGATTCCTAGGTATTTTATTCTCTTTGAAGCAATTGTGAATGGGAGTTCACTCATGATTTGGCTCTCTGTCTGTTATTGGTGTACAAGAATGCTTGTGATTTTTGCACATTGATTTTGTATCCTGAGACTTTGCTGAAGTTGCTTATCAGCTTAAGGAGATTTTGGGCTGAGACAATGGGGTTTTCTAAATATACAATCATGCCATCTGCAAACAGGGACAATTTGACTTCCTCTTTTCCTAATTGAATACCCTTTATTTCCTTCTCCTGCCTAATTGCCTTGGCCAGAACTTCCAACACTACATTGAATAGGAGTGGTGAGAGAGGGCATCCCTGTCTTGTGCCGGTTTTCAAAGGGAATGCTTCCAGTTTTTGCCCATTCAGTATGGTATTGGCTGTGGGTTTGTCATAAATAGCTCTTATTATTTTGAGATATGTCCCATCAATACCTAATTTATTGAGAGTTTTTAGCATGAAGGGCTGTTGAATTTTGTCAAGGCCTTTTCTGCATCTATTGAGATAATCATGTGGTTTTCGTCTTTAGTTCTGTTTATATGCTGATTTAATATATAATGTTAAATCAATAAACATTATATGTTTATTGATTTGCGTATATTGAACCAGCCTTGCATCCCAGGGATGAAGCCCACTTAATCATGGTGGATAAGCTTTTTGATGTGCTGCTGGATTCGGTTTGGCAGTATTTTACTGAGGATTTTTGCATCAGTGTTCATCAGGGATATTAGTCTAAAATTCTCTTTTTTTGTTGTGTCTCTGCCAGCCTTTGGTATCAGGATGATGCTGGCCTCATAAAATGAGTTAGGGAGGACTCCCTCTTTTTCTGTTGATTGGAATAGTTTCAGAAGGAATGGTACCAGCTCCTCCTTGTACCTCTGGTAGCATTCAGCTGGGACTACAGGTGCCCACCACCACATCCGGCTAATTTTTGTATTTTTAGTAGAGACGGGGTTTCACCACGTTGGCCAGGCTGGCCTCAAACTCCTGACCTCAGGTGATCTACCAGCCTCGACCTCCCAAAGTGCTGGGATTACAGGTGTGAGCCACCATGCCAGGCCGTAAACCACTTTTCGAAAAGAATCAAAGTAAAACAGTAATTGTCTACGGATGACAAAAGACTTATAGTAGCCATAGTTAAAGATGCCTGTGACAAGGAAAATTGGTTATTTCTGTGGCATCTAACAATGTAACATCATAATCATAATTATGACTGATAACATATACCAGGACATATCAAAATTTTAGAAATCTCATATGATTTTGGAACAAATATTAATCACACATTTATACTTGTGTGATACACATATAACTCAAAGAAAGTTAAACGCTATTGTTTATTTGACAATGCTTCCTGTATGATTCTAACATACCGAGTAAGCCTACTATTTGGATTTCCAGGAGTTTCTATTTGTTATGTCCAGGTTATGTCCACATTAGTTCAGGTCAAAAAGACTTAATTTTAGAATTTGAAATTTGATTTTTGGCTGGGTACAGTGGCTCACACTGGTAATCCCAGCACATTGGGAAGCCAAGGAAGGCAGATCGCTTGAGCCCAGGAGTTCAAGATCAGCCTGGACAATATGATCAAGCCTCATCTCTAAAAAAAGAATTTAAAAATTAAGCTGAGTGTGGTGGCGTGCATCTGTAGTCTCAGCTGCTCTAGAGGCTGAGGTGGGAGTACTGCTTGAGCCCAGGAGGGAGAGGTTACAGTGAGCCATGACTGTGCCACTCCAGCCTGAGTAAAAGAGTGAGACCCTATCTCAAAAAACAAAAAAAAAATTGATTTTGGGAAGTATGTCAAATATCAAAGGTTTAAAACATTTGATATCAAAATATGGCCAGACACAGTGGCTCACGCCTATAATCACAGCACTTTGGGAGGCCGAGGTGGGTGGATCACCTGAGGTCATGAGTTCAAGACCAGCCTGACCAACGTGGCAAAACCCTATCTCTACTAAAAATACAAAAATTACCCAGGTGTGATGGTGCACACCTGTAATCCCAGCTAGTTGGGTGGCTGAGGTAGGAGAATCATTTGAATCCAGGAGGCGGAGGTTGTAGTGAGCTGAGATCACACCACTACACTCCAGACTGGGTGACAGAGCGAGATTCCATCTAAAAAAAAAAAAAAAGGAAAAAAGAAAACATTTGATATCAAAATAGGATCACAGGTCTGTGTAAAATAAGTCATTCATTTAGCCAGAATGGGAGAGAGCAGTGGTTCTCCCAGCACGGAGTTTGAGATCTGAGAACGGACAGACTGCCTCCTCAAGTGGGTCCCTGACCCCCAAGTAGCCTAACTGGGAGGCACCCTCCAGAAGGGGCAGACTGACACCTCACATGGCCGGGTACCCCTCTGAGACGAAGCTTCCAGAGGAACGATCAGGCAGCAACATTTGCTGTTCAGCAATATTCACTGTTCTGCAGCCTCTGCTGCTGATACCCAGGCAAACAGGGTCTGGAGTGGACCTCCAGCAAACTCCAACAGACTTGCAGCTGAGGGTCCTGACTGTTAGAAGGAAAACTAACAAACAGAAAGGACATCCACACCAAAACCCCATCTGTACATCACCATCATCAAAGACCAAAGGTAGATAAAACCACAAAGATGGGGAAAAAACAGAGCAGAAAAGCTGAAGATTCTAAAAATCAGAGCGCCTCTCCCCCTCCAAAGGAATGCAGCTCCTCACCAGCAATGGAACAAAGCTGGACAGCACTAAATACCCACAAGAGAAAGCAGGAAAGTTCTAAAATTGACACCCTAACATCACAACTAAAAGAACTAGAGAAGCAAGAGCAAACACATTTAAAAGCTAGCAGAAGACAAGAAATAACTAAGATCAGAGCAGAACTGAAGGAGATAGAGACACAAAAAACCCTTCAAAAAATCAATGAATCCAGGAGCTGGTTTTTTGAATAGATCAACAAAATTGATAGACCGCTAGCAAGACTAATAAAGAAGAAAAGAGAGAAGAATCAGATAGACGCAATAAAAGATGATAAAGGGGATATCACCACCAATCCCACAGAAATACAAACTACCATCAGAGAATACTATGAACACCTCTACACAATAAAACTAGAAAATCTAGAAGAAATAGATAAATTCCTGGACACATACACCCTCCCAAGACTACACCAGGAAGAAGTTGAATCCCTGAATAGACCAATAACAGGCTCTGAAATTGAGGCAATAATTAATAGTCTACCAACCAAAAAAAGTCCAGGACCAGATGGATTCACAGCTGTGGTCCCAGCTACTTGGGAGGCTGAGGCAGGAGAATCGCTTGAACCCTGGAGGTGGAGATTGCAGTGAGCTGAGATCACACTGCTGCACTCCAGCCTGGGAAACAGAGGGAGACTCTATCTCAAAAAAAAAAAAAAAAAGAAAAGAAAAAAGAAAAGAAAAAAAGTGGTTTACAATCAGCTGCAGTCCAAAGTTTATCTTTTCTTCAAGGAAATTCATGGAAAGGACACTGAGAAGTACTCTTGAATACAGGTTTCTAATAAACTTAGAGATCATACCATTGGACTAGGTAAAAACTTCCACAACACTAATGAAAAACTGATGCATTCATGAAGATTTCTAATCCAGCATCAGGCATTACAATAATTAATTACACCGGACTGAAATTATTTTTATGACTTTTTTGTTGGAACATTGCTAACTCTTTTTGTTTTGTTTTCGAGAGTTAAGAAAACTTTTGTTTTTTTTTTTTTTGAGATGGAGTTTCGCTCTTGTTGCCCAGGCTGTAGTGCAGTGGTGCAATCTCGGCTCACTGCAACCTCCGCCTCCCGGGTTCAAGCGATTCTTCTGCCTCAGCCTCCTGAATAGCTGGGATTATAGGTGTGCGCCACCATGCCTTTAGTAGAGACGGGGTTTCACCATGTTGGCCAGGCTGGTCTCGAACTCCTGACATCAAGTGATCCACCCTCCTTGGCCTCCCAAAGTGCTGGGATTACAGGCGTGAGCCACAGTACCTGGCCAAAAACTTTAAAAAAAAAAATCTGTTTAGAGCTTATAGCAATTGGGTAAAATATATTTTTGTGAGCAAAATTGAAGCATTTATCTTTCTACCTGATTTCTCCAGAATTCAGAAACTATGAATGAGTATTCTTATTTTATTGTAATATAATTATTTGCATAATTTTAGTAAAAAATTTTTTTCCTTTGTTAACAGAACACAATTGAAGGCACTGGTTATTCTAGCAAGGCTTTGACTGGAATGGCATATTTTCAGATATGACCAGACTGCTCTGAGGAATTCAGGTTGGCTTTATAGAGTCAATAAAAAGCTACCTGGAAAGAGTGGCCATGTACCTTATCTATACAGTTCCCTTACAAGGTTCCTGATCTTGAGGTAAGTAAATAATGTCCCTTTCTGACAGGCCCAGGAACCTCAAATATTTTGGGGCCTTGAGAAAAGAGGAACTCACCCAGTTCATGCAGGTGTTACAGGCACAATCTGAAGATGAATCTTTGGCTTTTTAAAGCCTCAGATTAAAAAGTCTAATCTGAAATTCTCTATGAAAATTCCTTCAAAGCCAACTTGAAAAGAACCTTTATGATCAGTCATTATTCTTGTTCCACTTTATGCAAATAATGAAGCTGAATATAATGCTAAAACTTATTTTACAAGTAACTTGGTCCCACTAAGATTTATCTTTGGTAGAAATGGGGAATCTGAGAGAGAAAAATTATGTTTCAGAAGAAAACGATTTTATACCTATTGATAGATTCCAGCCCTGATGATTGTTTCTGAGTTTTTGTTATTTTCCTGCAATCCTTAATTATTTCCTGGCTACAACAAGTCTTTAAAGAAGGTCTGGGTTTTAATTTTCTTTATGATGTTTTTAGTTCACTCATAAATTGAATTGTTTTCTTCTGTTCTGGCATACACATTTCTTTCTGATTATAATTCTTATGTGTATTATATTTCTACTATGTATCTCTCTCTCTCTCTCTTTTTTTTTTTTTTTTTGAGATGGAGTTTCACTCTTGTTGCCCAGGCTGGAGTGCAATGGCTTGATCTTAGCTCACTGCAATCTCTGCCTCCTGGGTTCAAGTGATTCTCCTGCCTCAGCCTCCAGAGTAGCTGGGATTACAGGTGCTTGCCACCATGCCCGGCTAATTTTTTGTATTTTTAGTAGAGACGGGGTTTCACCATGTTGGCCAGGCTGGTCTCAAACTCCTGACCTCAAGTGATCCACCTGCCTCAGCCTCCCAAAGTGCCGGGATTGCAGGCATGAGCCACCACGCCCAGCTGTATCTCTCATTGTTTTAGTTCCCCTAAGAAAACCAAATTCATGGTATTCTGAAGACTAGAGATGATTCAACAGGCAACAGCAGTTATATAAATTGATGACTTGGCTGAGGTCTCATTTTTGCCACCCTGTGATGCCATCCCAATTTGGCTTTTGGCTTTCTTCAGATTCCTCACTGAGAGGTATCCTTCCCTGATATAATTTGGATATTTGTCCTCACCCAAATCTGATATTGAAATATAATCCCCAACATTGGAGGTGGGGCCTGGTGGAGGTGGTTGGCTCACGGTGGTGGATTTCTCACGAATGGCTTAGCACCCTCCCTTTGGTGCTGTCCTCGTGATAGTGAGTTCTCATGAGATCTGGTCTTTTAAAAGTGTGTGGCACCTCACCTGCCACTCTCTCCCTCTTTCTCTCTTGTTCCTGCTTTCCCTTTGTGACATGCCCACTCTCCCTTTACCTTTTGCCCTGATTGTCAGCTTCCTAAGGCCTTCCTAGAAGCTGAACAGATGCCAGCACCATACTTCCTGTAAAGCCTGCAGAACCATGTGCCAATTAAACCTCTTTTCTTATATATTACCCAATCTCAGGTATTTCTTATTTTTATTTATTTATTTATTTACTTATTTATTTATTTTCATGCAAGATAGGTTCTTACTCTGTCACCCAGGCTAGAGTACAGTGGCATGATCATGGCTCACGGCAGCCTTCTCCTCCCGAGGCTCAGGTGATTCTCCCACCTCAGCCTCCCGAGTGACTGAGACTACAGGCATGTACCACCATGCCTGGCTAATTTTTTTTGAATTTTTAGTAAAGGTGAGGTTTTGTCATGCTGCCCAGGCTGGTCTCAAACTCCTGGGCTCAAGCCATCTGCCCACCTCGGCCTCCCAAAGTGTTGTGATTACAGGCGCGAGCCAGTGCAGCCAGCTGGTTATTTCTCTATAGCAATGCAAGAATGGCTTAATACATCTCCCCTCCCCTACATGGGACAAGGCCATCTGATAATTAACCTTCCTAGCAACTCAGGACTAAGCTCCTGAACATAAAGGGAGCCAAAACAATTTGCATTTTTCTATGAGGCCTTCTTTGAAAGGTCTTGATGAAAAGGGGAGAAATGGGGAAAAAAATAGCACAGAGCAGTCTGAGCTATGTGAGGTGTGCCAAAGTTATCAGGCCCAGAGAGACAGGAGAGTGGGGCTTTTTGTTTTGTTTTTGTTTGAGACAACATAGTGAGAGCCTGTCTTTATAAAAAATTTTAAAAAATTATCCAAGCATAAGGGCATGTGCCTGTGGTCCCAGCTACTGAGGCAGGCTGAGGAGAGAGGATTGCTTGAATCTGGGAGGTTGAGGCTGCAGTAAGCTGTGATCACACCACTGCACTCCAGACTGGGTGACAGAGTGAGACCCTGTCTCAAAAAAAAAAAAAAAAAAGAACCCACTGCTGCTAATTGGAGCATCTATTCAGGGGAACTTGAATCTAGGCTCCCAGGTGGCCATCCTTAAGCTTTGGGCTTGAATAAACTTTGTACTTAATCATAGTTTCTAAATCTCATTATTTAAAGTCGAGAATTCATTCCTCCCTTCATCTGTTCATTCATATGTCTGTCCTTTCACCCACCAATCCGCTCATCTAGCCATCCACCCATTTGTCTGTTAGTCCGTCCATCCATCCATCCATCCATCCACTCACCCAGACATCCATCCATCCATCCATCTGTCCTTTCACCCACCCATTTATTCATCCATTCATCCATCCATCTATCCATCCCACTGAGTCATTCATCCATCTATCCATCCATCCATCTGTCCGTCCATCCATCTTATATTTTGGGGGGCATGTCTGATGTGTCAGATACTGTGGCAGGTGCACAGACACAAATTCGGAAGACAGATCTCCACTTAGAAGTGTGCCAGGCACCTCAGCTCAACATATCTCCAGCTGACTTCATTTTATCCTTCTCCTCCCATCTCTTGACGTTCTGTTCAAGCATTTAGTAAATGCCAGTCATCTATAGCCTGAGCCCACCTGGGTTGCCCTAAGTTGTCTGATTCACATCCATTCTAATTCCTTGGCTTCTCTCAACCATGTCTGCTCCTTTTCCTCCTCTTGGCCATTCCTGAGTGTACCTGGATCACTACAGCAGTATCTATGCTGTTTCCTCCTTTTCTAGGTGACCATTTGTCCTTCTGCCAGAGGGCTCTGTGGGAAATACAGATTCGATCCTGCTGTTTCTTACTGGGAACCCTCCATGGCTCCCAGTCCCTGGAATGTGCCGGGCAACTTTCAGCTCTTGGTCGTGGGAGCCTCCTGCCTGTGCACAGTGTGTTCTTCCAGGACCCATGCCCACTCCCTCCTTCCCAGCATTCCAGTTTGGCCCTTGAGGCCTCCTTGGAGTCATCCCCCTCCCAGATGTGCAATGCATTTTGGGTTCTCAACAGCTTCCCCTCCTTACCTGCAAAGGTTGAACAGACCTGGATCTGCTATCCTGCTTTGCCACTTCCTGCTGCATGACCTGCATTATGAAGTTCTCTAGACTCAGGGTTTCCATTGGCTAATAGGATCAGCCAACCTGCCTTTGAGGAGTGGACGAAGCTTGGCACTTAGTAGGTGCCCATGAGGCATCAGAAACTGCCCTTGTTGAATGATGCTCTAATGCGGTGTTGACATCTCTGTCCTACTAGACTGGGGTTGCTTTGAGGACTCCAATTCTGTCTTTTCATCCTGATTCCATGATGGAACAGACCCACAGGCCCTTGTCAGCATTCCAAAAAGCAAAAAGCTGTGAAAATGAAAAGGACTTTTTTTTTTTTTCTGTAAACTTGGTGCCAAAATTTGCAAAAGCTGACCTGACCCAAGGTGTTGGCAGCATCCCAACACTCCCTCTGTTACAGGCACCTCTGCTGGTTGCTGACAATGTATATGTTTTAATTTTTAAAATGCATTTGTCTTTTTGTGACCATGGGTTTAATTGCACTGTGAATTCATACAAAAAGGGTAGCATGTACCCAGTGCTCACTGTGGGAAGGACACATGGAAACACTCTCTTTGTCAATAGTGCAGAAAGCATCAGTGATGTTGGGAAGCCATCAAAAGACAAGCAGTTGGGCTGTGCGTGGTGGCTCATGCTTATAATCCTAGCACTTTGGGAGGCTGAGGTGGGAGGATTGCTTGAGGTCAAGAGTTCAAGACCAACCTGGCCAACATAGCAAGATCCCCTCTCTATTAAAAAAAAGACAAACAGTTGAAAATTTATAATAATTGTGATTACCAAGAGCCATTGAAATATGGAAAACACAGGGTCAGTGGGGTGTGGTGTAGGGAGAGAGATCTTGACCAGGAACGGATGGAACGGAATTGGCAATGAAGTAGTCACTGTATGCCAAGGAGTGGTTTGTTGGTTATGAAAGAAGCTGGAATACAGCAGGAAGAACTGAACTTTAAAGGTGAGCATGAATATTCAAGAAGTGTCATGGTGTAAAACAATCTGCATAGCTGTGGTGGAAAGGCTTCTTTCCTGATCAGGAAACAGCTGAAAATTACATTGATGGATTTGTATCCTCTGAAAACCTTAGTCTCAACCAGGCGCGGTGGCTCACGCCTGCGATCCCGGCACTTTGGGAGTCCAAGGCAAGTGGATTGCTTGAGCCCAGGAATTTGAGACCAGTCTGGCCAACGTGGCAAAACCCCATCTCTGCAAAAAATACAGAAATTAGCCAAGCATGGTGGTGCATGCCTGTAGTCCCAGCTACTCTGGAGGCTGAGGTAGGAGGATCACTGAGCCCAGGGAGGTTGAGGCTGCAGTGAGCCAAGATGGTGCCACTGCACTTCAGCCTGGGTGACAGAGAGAGACCCTGTCTGAAAGCCAAAAAACAACAAAACCTAAGTCAGAACAAGTTTGTGTAGCTGATGAGTCAGGCAGCTTCACCTGTGCTCCTTTCTAGACAGGCAGGATGGTTGCGGAGAGTCACAACAGGCGTCCAGGAGGAAAGGCACGAGATGATGCTGGCCAAAGCTAGTTGTGGTTGGAAAAAGCCACTGGTGTGAACGGTGTATGCTAGTATGCAAGGGAACATATACTGGGAACTCGAGCCATGTTTTCTGCATGGTTTAATAATCCTTTGTATCAGTGCCAGGAATTCACTGCAGATAAGCTGGTCTGGAAGAAAAACGAACATTTTGTTATTTCTGCACAGCTGCTCCACACATTCCTTTCCTGAAAGTCTTTTGAAAAGCAATGTTTCTGACATTTACTTTCCACGATTTGTGAAGGGAGTTTTACACTCCAATAAGAGTGAATATAAATGATTTTTTGGGGGGAAGGGGGAATCCTGCCATTAACAGAAAGCAGGGCTTCCTGACTAAGTTCACTCACAAGGCTGCCATTCACACAGTCACAAATGCTCGGACAGGATGGACAGTTCCACTAACGTGCGCTTGGTTGACTGTGTGAACCCCAACCATTTGAGACAGGCCTCAGTTAATTTAGAAAGTTTATTTTGCCAAGGTTGAGGACGTGTACCCGTGACATGGCCTCAGGAGGTCCTGACAACATGTGCCCAAGGTGGTCGGAGCACAGCTTGGTTTTAGACACTTTGGGGAGACCTGAGACATCAGTTAACACATGTAAGATGAACATTGGTTTGGTCCGGAAAGGTGGGACAACTCAAAGCAAAAGCGGAACTCAAAGCCGGAGGGGGCTTCCAGGTCATGGGTAGATAAGAGACAAGTGGTCGCATTCTTTTGAGCTTCTGATGAGCCCCTCCAAAGGAAGCAATCAGATATGCATTTATCTCAGTGAGCAGAGGGGTGACTTGCAGTAGAAAGGGAGGCAGGTTTGCTATAAGCAGCTCCCAGTTTGACTTTTCCCTTTAGCTTCGTGATTTTGGGGGCCCAAGAGATTTTCCTTTCACAACTGCACGAGCACTTTGACCTAAAACAATTCTTGAAACCGAACCTGGAGATAAAGCCCATCTATGGCAGAAGAAGGTGATAGCAAACCGCATTATTGACCCTCAAAGTTTATCAACCAAAAGTGGAGTCAGGAGAAAGTCACAGAGAAGAGATGCTGAACCTAGAAATGGGGCACCTATTGTGCCTGCCTCGCATGATGGAGAAATTGCTGGAATCGACTGAATACCAGTGACAATGGGAGGGGAAATGTCGGGGAGATGTGGACCCTGGGGAGTCCCCACAGACTATCTGGCAATATCTGTGGCCTGCTAACTGCTGGCTTCAAGGACATTTATCAGTGAGCAGGAGGACCCCTGAATTAGAGAGATGCTTAGGTGTGGCACTGGTGTTGTGGGAGGAAGTGCCGAGAAGCCCATTGACACGGTGCTGCCCCAGGACTTCAGAGACTCTTCAATCCATCCTCCATGCTGCCTCCAGCCCCATGACCTCAGCAATGTATCACTGCTGTGCTCCCTTTCCCAAGACCCCCAAGCAGCCAGATGTAGCCTGATTCATTACATGTATGCATACAGGTGTCAATCTAAAATAGTCAAAAGGGCCAGAATCTAGTTTAAGGAGAGTTTATTCAAGTGCAAGGTTTAAGTCCAGCCATCCAGGAAGCACAGATTCCAAAGAATGGAAGTCAGTGTTCTGAAGTATAGAAGTTTGGGACCATGTATATAGATAAAGTTTATGGAAGCTTACCAGAATTTCAACATCTTTAGGCTTTAATGCATAGTTACAATGGTCTGATTAGTCGAGGTGGTCTTTTTCTTTCAAGAAAGGTGTATTTGGCCAGGCACAGTGGCTCATGCCTGTAATCCTAGCACTTTGGGAGGCCAAGGTGGGCAGATCACCTGAGGGCAGGAGTTCAAGACCAGCATGGCTAACATGGTGAAACCCTGTCTCTACTAAAAATGCAAAAATTAGCTGGGCGTGGTGGCAGGCACCTATAACCCCAGCTACTCGGGAGGCTGAGGCAGGAGAATTGCTTGAACCCGGGAGGCGGAGGTTGCAGTGAGCCAAGATCACACCACTGCACTCCAGCCTGGACAACAGAGCCAGACTCTGTCTCAAAAAAAAAAAAAAAAGAAGAAGAAGAAGAAGAAAGGTGTATTTAATCTTCCCCACTGAAGATGCAACCGTCATGAGGTCTTTGCGCCATCTGATCTGAGTTGGGTACAGGACAATAAAGGAGGCAGCTAATCTGTAACAGAGATCAGTGATGGGAAGGAGGAGATCTGGTCTCTGGGAGACTGAGGCAGGAGGATTACTTGAGCTCAGGAGTTCTTTTTTTTTGAGACGAGTCTCGCTCTGTCACCCTGGCTGGAGTGCAATGGCGCGATCTTGGCTCAATGCAACCTCCACTTCCCAGGTTCAAGTGATTCTCTTCCCTCAGCCTCCTGAGGAGCTGGGATTACAGGTACTTGCCACCACGCCTGCCTAATTTTTGTATTTTTAGTAGAGACGGGGTTTCACCATGTTGGTCAGGCTGGTCTTGACCTCCTGACCTCAAGTGATCCACCCGCCTCAGCCTCCCAAAGTGCTGGGATTACAGGTGTGAGCCACTGTGCCCAGTCGAGCTCAGGAGTTCCAATCCAGCCTGAACAACACAGCAAGACCCTGTCTCAAAAAGAAAGAAATATGACAATATGACTTTGCAGCGTTTCAGAACATCAATAACTTTGCAGTTCTTCATGTTTCTCCTAGTCATGTCCAGAACAAGGACCCTGGGGAAGAGAGTTAAGCTGTAATCTAAGAAGCAGAATTTGCAAATATGCTACTGACTCAGTCTCCAGGGCTTAACATCCCCTTTGACATAATAAATTTAGAGGGTCCTGAAATTTTATTTGCTTTTAAACGACTTTTTTTCTTTCACAGACATTTGGCTTCACTTGAACCTGTGTTTGAAGCTTTAGTGAACATTGTCTTTGGGAGTAAGAAGTACTAGAAAATTTATGGTATGTGGTTATCTTGCTATTTCATGAACTACTGTATTACTATATAAATCAGCTGGAAGCAAGCTGTAATCCTGTTTATGGGATATTTGTTCCACTTACCATGATGAATTTGGCTGCAGAAATATCAGTATATTTGCCTTTGGAGTCCTGCCTCAGACCCCTGATGAGGGCTATGCAATCTATAGTACTTGCTTTTATTTGTTTATTCTGCTGTAAATGGTTTGTTTGAATTTTTTTTTTTTTTTTTTTTTTTTTTTGAGACGGAGTCTCGCTCTGTCGCCCAGGCCGGACTGCGGACTGCAGTGGCGCAATCTCGGCTCACTGCAAGCTCCGCTTCCCGGGTTCACGCCATTCTCCTGCCTCAGCCTCCCGAGTAGCTGGGACTACAGGCGCCCGCCACCGCGCCCGGCTAATTTTTTGTATTTTTAGTAGAGACGGGGTTTCACCTTGTTAGCCAGGATGGTCTCGATCTCCTGACCTCATGATCCACCCGCCTCGGCCTTCCTAAGTGCTGGGATTACAGGCGTGAGCCACCGCGCCCGGCCTGTTTGAATGTTTTGTTTGCGAAAATAGCCTTAATTTTCCCTTCACTGTTTCCATGCACCTTAGAAATAGGACTTCGTAGCCGGTTGTGGTCATACACACCTACGGTCCCAGCTACTTGCAAGGCTGAGGTGGGGGTGTGGCAGGCCAGGTCTCACTAACACAGGCCTCCATAACAACTGTTTCAGTACTGACCAAGTGGTAAAGTTAAATATTAAAAGCTGAAAGAGCCAGCGCCCTTATACAAAGGCTGGAATGTAACAAAAGCCCACCAAGAGTTTTGCCCAGGCCTTTCCTGGGCTTTAAAGCATGAAGAGATAACAAAGGAATTCTTAACAGGACCCATTTAGGATTAAACAAATTTTATTGGGGGTCTGAAGAAACTCCCCAGGCCTCCACAAACAGGCTTTACTGGAGACTAAAGGAACTCCCCAAACCTCCATGACTTAGCAGGAGGCCAGATCCGGGTTTTCACCCCAGCACCTGGACCCAGCTAGGTTAATTAAATTCACTGAGGCTCCGGAGGAAGGTCTTCTGGACTCAGATCTTAGTTATGGATTAGAAGTTAATCACTTATGTCTTTAGATGGATGCACACTCACACGTAGACACACAGCTGAGAAGGTATAGAAGCTCTGGAAAACGCTGTCATTTTAAGTTGGTCTGGTGATAATTTCCAGGCCTTCTCTCTGTAACTGGTTACAGAAATAAAAACTCCCTTCTCTCCTAGTTCATCTGCATCTTGTCACTGGGACATGAGCATAGGTGGTCTACCTTCAGTTTGGTCTGTGAACAGGAGGATTACTTGAGCTCAGGAGTTCTAGTCCAGCCTGGGCAACAGAGCAAGACCCTGTCTCAAAAAGAAAGAAAGAAATGAGGATATGAGTTTGCTGCTCTTTAAATCGATGACTTTGCAGCTCTTCATCTGAAGAGGTGGCGTCTGTTTCTCCTGTTTGAGTGTGGCACATCCAGGAGAGTGGCTTTGAGCAGTGGTGTGGCAGACGTGACTGTAGGCCAGCCCTGAGCTGAGGCTGCCAGGGGACTGCACACTTCTTCTCTCAGCTCTGCCAGCTGCTGCACTGTGTCTGGGCCAGCCCGCTGGAGCACAGAGTTCAGTGCATTGGGACAGCTACAGCCCATTGCATCGGGACAGCCCACAGCAACAAGACCCACCTGTCGCCACTGCAGGTGCGTGAGGGTGCCCGGCTGAGAGCAGACAAACCGCCTAGCAGGTGGCTTTTCAAGCGGAATCACAGACTAGCTCCATCGCTGTGGTGAACGTTCTCCCCAGTGCCAGGATTCCACTTGGCCCCTGACTGCTTGAGCAGCCGATGTGACAGCCATCTCTCTGCTGCCGTGCATGTCGGCTGGGCTGGAGCCAGTGCATCAGGAAGTAGACGCAGAAGTGGATCAGGAGCAAAACATTCCTGAGAGCTGGCAGAAGCTGGCGTCTGGAGCCGCTGGGATGCGGGTATGGGCTCTCTCAGTGGCGGAGGAACAGCCTCCTGGCAGAACCAAAGGTTGCTTTGTGCCTTCGATGCTGCTGCTGGCCAGAGTGGTTTTCTGTCTCAGACCCTGTACCACGTGTCTGTTCTTTCTCATTTTTTACTTAAAGGAGAAGAAAATGATTATGTGTACATGCTGGTGGCACACATAACTTAGTATTAAGTATTACAAAGTCTTACAGGCAGGGCACAGTGGCTCACGCCTATAATCCCAGTATTTTGGGAGGCTGAGGTGGGCAGATCACCTGAGGTCAGCAATTTGAGACCAGTCTGGCCAACACAGTGAAACCCCATCTCTACTAAAAATACAAAAATTAGCCAGGTATGGTGGCACACACCTGTAATTCCAGCCACTCAGGAGGCTGAGGCAGGAGAATCATTTGAACCCGGGAGGCTGAGGTTGCAGTGAGCTGAGATCACACCACTGCACTCCAGCCTGAGTGACGGAGTGAGACTCTGTTTCAAAAAAAGAAAAAAAAGTCTGAAAAGTCTTACAGACCCAAGGAAGAATTTGTCTTCCTCTGTGAGAGGGGAGATGTGCTCTGATGATATAGGAGAAAACCCCAAAATCAGTATCAGCCCACCAACCAGGGCAGTGAAGCCGCACCCAGATGCACCACACATGGCAGTCCATGAACAGCCGGGCTTTTGTAAAGGCCGGTGCTTTATGGAATGACGCTCTGCCGGGCCCGGGTTCTGGGGCTTCCAGTCACTCAGTCTTTTGTTTACTCATCCATTGCGTATTTCTTGAGCACCTCCTATGAACCAGATGCTGCTTGAGGAACTGGGGTTACCAGGGCAAATGAGACCAGGCCCCTGCCCTCGGGGGCCCCAGGTTCAGTGGGAGAGAGAAGACAAAAAAAAGGAAAAGAAGTGAGCTAATTTCAGATAGTGCTTAGAGCTGTGGAGAGAATGCGTGGCACTCGGAGGCCCTGAGCAGCCCAGATGGTGAAGCAGCTGTGGTTGTGGTGTTGAGAGTGTGACCCTGAAAAGATGTAGAGTTGAGAGTGAGTGAAGGCCCGGGGTCGGCAGGGGCGGGGTGGCGGCTGGAGCATGAGCTCTATGTGGAGGAGCAGTGAGCAGACCACTGTGCCCGGAACTTGGTGGGGGTCCAGGGCCAGGTGAGGCTGGCAGAGTTTGGGGAGGGGCTCCTGGCCCAAATCAGGTGGGCTGTGGCATGGAGCATGATGTCATCCTAAAACCATCCTAAGGACACTTCAGACGGTCACTTTCTCAATCTGGGCCTTGGTTTGTTGATCTGTGGAATGGGAGTTGCACTAGTTGATTCCTGGGGTCCCTTCTGAAACCCCCAACTTTGTGAGTCCATGACATGAAACATAACCCCCCTGCCATGGTCTGCAGAAAGCTGTAAACTCTCCCTCCCCAGGGAGACAGACGCTCGTCTCCCTGGCTGCCCAAAGCGCAGGGAGTCTCATGTTCTGATGGCTCTTTCTTTCTCTCTTTCTTTCTTTTTCTTTTCTTTTTTTTTTTTTTAAGATGGAGTCTCACTCTGTCATCCAGGCTGGAGTACAATGGCGAGATCTCAGCTCACTGCAACCTCCGCCTCCTGGGTTCAAGCAATTCTCCTGTCTCAACCTCTTGAGTAGCTGGGATTACAGGCATGCACCACCACGCCCAGCTAATTTTTGTGTTTTTAGTAGAGACACGGTTTCACCATATTGGTCAGGCTGGTCTCGAACTCCTGACCTCAGGTGATCCGCCCCCCTCAGCCTCCCAAAGTGCTGGGATTACAGGCGTAGCCACTATGCCCGGCTTGGCTCTCACTTTCGTGTTCTTTCCATGTAATCACACATGAATGGTTGTCACAAGATCTCACAGGGAAATAATTTAGCAAGTGAATCTCAGTTTTAAAAAGGAAGGTGTTTGTGTTTTATCAGCATCTGTAATTGATCAGACCATATAGTTAAACCCCTAAGAAGACTTAAGGTCTTATCTCCCTCAGCTGAGACTTCTGTGACAAATGCCACAGATACACAGATTAAACAACAGAAATTGATTTCTCACAGTTCTGGAGCCTGGAAATTCAAGATCAAGCTGCTGGTCAGTGCTGTTCCTAGTGAGGTCTCTCTTCCTGGTTTGCAGACAGCTGCCTTCTCATTGTATCCTCAGACGGTGAGGAGAGAGAGAGAGTGAGCAAGCTCTCTTCTCTCTTCTTATAAAGGCACTAACCTCATTATAGGGCCCCATCCTCATAACCTTATTACCTCCGAGTCCTCACCTCCTAACACCATAGGAGGTTAGGGTTTCAACATTTTAATTTTGATAAATATTCAGTTCATAACAGGTCTGCACCTGGGGTCCATATAGGTCAGTTTTATTTCCAGCAGAATAATGGTGATCTGTACCACCATTACACCTGCCTGTATGCAGGCAACCCATATTCATGGCTTTCCATAAATGGCTTTATTCTTTCCGAAAATGGCATTTTTATTTCGCTTACTGTGTGTGTGATTAATACCTTCTCATGGTTCAAAATAAAAATAACCAAAAAGTCCCCTGCTGGCTCTGTGCTCAGCCTCCTACAACCTCACCAGGAGCAGCCAGTGTGACCAGTTTCATGCGGGCCCTAGAGATATTTTATGTAGTTACAAGCAATTGCATATGTATTTCCTGTTTTGGCATAAATGTTAGCACACCATACATACGTTGTTCTCCATGTTATTTTTATGTAATAAGTTGGAGATATTTCCATATCTCTAGAAGGAAGGAGATACGAAAACAAAGAATTTCTTTTTGTGTGTGTGCCACAATAGCAAAGAAATTTCTTCATTTTTCAATGGTAAAATACACGTAACATAAAATTCACCATTTTAACCTTTTACTAATAAGTGTACAGTTCAGTGATATTAAGTACATTTGCATTGTTGTGCAACCATCACTACCACCAACCTCCAGAACTCTTTTTTGTCTTGCAAAATCAAAACTCTGTCCCCGTTAAACACTAACTGCCTGTTCTCCTTCCCTCAGCCCCTGACACCTACCATTCTATTGTCCGTCTCTATGCATATGACTCCTCTAAGAAACTCAAACAAGTGCAATCATTTGTTCTTTTGTGACTGTCTTTTTTTTTTTTTTTTGAGACAGAATCTTGTTCTATCGCCTAGGCTGGAGTGCAGTGGTGCGATCTCAGCTCATTGCAACTTGCACTCCTGGGCTCAAGTGATTCTCCTGCCTCAGCCTCCCGAGTAGCTGGGATTACAGGTGTGTGCCACCACTCCCAGCAATTTTTTTTTGTTTGTATTTTTAATAGAAACAGGGTTTCACCATGTTGGTCAGGCTGGTCCCAAACTCGGATTACAGGCGTGAGCCACTGCGCCCGGCCTGTGACTGCTTTGTTTTACTGAGCATATTGTCTTCAAGGTTCATCCATGTGGTAGCATGTGTCAAAATGCCTTCCTTTCTAAAGGTGAATAATATTTCACTGCATGTACAGACCACATTGTGTTTATCTGTTGACCTGTTGGTGGACGCCTGGGTTGTTTCCACCTCTTGGCTGTTGTGAATGACGCTGCTGTGAACATGAATGTGCAGATTTCCTCATTTTTCAACCACTGCAGGCTGTTCCACGCAGCAGAGGCTGGTACACCTACTCTCTACGGTGCACATTTAGGGAGTGTCCGTTTTTCACTAACACCAACAGCTGCAACAGTAATCTTGTGCACAGGTGACTGCACATGTGCGACTCTGTATTTGCAGCATACAGTTCTAGAGGTGGCATGGCTGCATCAAATGGAACGTGCGTTTGTAATTTGGTTACCCCATGTCTCTAAGGCATTTTAGTTTGGCAGCTGTTAGAAGCTGGTTTCGGATCAAATCTTGCAAGTGGCGGGAGGGTTGTGGGTGTCTTTATCAGGCTAGAGTCATGGAAAGAATGTGCCCCTTTCAGACCTTGACCTCTGTTGGGGTTACATCTTTAAAGGCACCGTCTTTCCACTTTGGAAATGGAAGTGTCCCACTTGCTGTGCTGACGGACACTAGAGGGCGGAGTTCCCCATCTTTCAGGCAATGTGAAGGCTCAGTCCACTTCTCCACTTCTGCAACTACAGAGGTGATTATTTGGGACCACTGGATTGGGGGGAGAAAGTCAGTGTCTCCCAAGGGGTACGGCACAGGACAGAGAACCAGTATTGGAGCTCAGACAGGCTCGGGGGACTGGGAGATGGAAGCCATCGCCTTTACCTTGGGCATTTCATCTTAGGTCCCATGGAAACAGGGGCCATGGGTTGGTACTTATCATTTCTTTTAAACAGATAATGGCATACAGTAAGTCCTCAATTTCATCACAGCTTCCTGGAAACTGTGACTTTAAGCAAGACAACATATAATGAAACCAATTTTACCATAGGCTAGTTGATATAAACAAGAGTTAAATTCCTATGTCATAGGCTGGGTGCGGTGGCTCACACCAGTAATCCCAGCACTTTGGAAGGCCAAAGCGGGCAGATCACCTGAGGTTGGGAGTTCAAGACCAGCCTGACCAACATGGAGAAATACTAAAAATACAAAAGTAGCTGGGTGTGGTGGTGCATGCCTGTAATCCCAGCTACTCGGGAGGCTGAGGCAGGAGAATCGCTTGAACCTGGGAGGTGGAGGTTGCAGTGAGCCGAGATCACGCCACCGCACTCCAGCCTGGGCAATAAGTGTGAAACTCTGTCTCAAAAAAAAAAAAAGAGGCATATTTCTGCTCTCAAAACATCACCAGAACAGGTGTGGTGGCTCACACCTGTAATCCCAGCACTTCGGGAGGCTGAGGTGGCAGATCTCTTGAGGCAAGGAGTTCAAAACCAGCCTGGGCGACATGATGAAACCCCATCTCTACAAAAAATGCCCCCCAAATTAGCCAGGAAAGGTGGTGTGTGCCTGTGGTCCCAGCTACTTAGGAGGCTGAGGTGGGAGGATTGCTTGAGCCTCAGAGGCTAAGGTTGCGGTGAGCTGTGATCACACCACCACACTCCAGCCTGGGCGACGGAACAAAACCCTATTTCCAAAAAAACCCCACAAAAAAACAAAAAACACCACCAAATTTCTAAAGACCCAAACACTTCTAATATTAAACATTGAAATAAATGTAAACTATCCCTACATGTAGAGGTAGCTACACCTACATAAGGAAGATTAATACAAACAAGTGAGATCATGATCTACCCAATATTTGGGATGTCCGTGAGTGATGGCGGTGGTAGTGGTGGTGGTGAAATCACGGAATCAATGTCTGCAAAGCACACGCTCTTGGGAGCACCTCCTCCCACCGCACAGCTGAAAGACAAGCGACCGTGAGTATGGCGGCTCCTTGAGCACCCTCACACGCGGCGTTTGTTGTCATGCGTTTGTGTGATTACCGTAGGCTTTATAATTTTTATTTGATAATTTATATTCATGTATTCATTCATTTTCCAACTTGCTTTCTCCAGTTCAGAGTGGCAGGTGACCAGGGCCCATCCTGGAGGCTCAGTGCCAAGGTGGGCACCCGCCCTGGATAGGACAGGCCTCCATGGGACACCCACACTCACTCGGACTAGGCCCATGTAGACATGCCGTGAGGCTGAGGTGTATACTTGGGATGTGGGAGGAAACTGGAGGACCTGGAGAAAACCCGCGCGGACCTGGGGAGACCTCCTCAATGCTCCCTAGAATGAAACGATGGGATTTGAGGACCTGCTGTATTTATTTGTCCCAATCCAGCGGCCCTGGCCTTCAGTGCACAGTAGTCCCTGCTGCTGGGCACACATCCCCTCATGCTCAGTCCATTGACCAGGACTGGGCACATGGCCTCACCTAGCTGCGGGCAGTGGCTTCTGCCCTGGGGCAGGCAGCTGCTCCAGGTCTGGAGATGAGCCCCACCTCCAGGTGCAGCTGCTCCAGGTGTGGAAACGGGGCTCTACCTCGTGGGGAGCGTCCGCTGCGGGCCACAACCTTGCTGGGAGGCTGCGGGAGATGGGGGGTAAGAGGGGTGATGTTGAGGCTTTCCCTCCTCGGCAGTGACCGGCGCAGCCCTCCCCAGTGTAGCTCCCCCCTCCCCACCCCTCCCTCCATCTGGAACACAGCACGGGGGCTGCCCTCCAGCCCTCAGTGTGCAGGGCTTGCACACCTTGGCTTGCAGGGCATTTGGGGGATCCCAGTGGGGCAACTGCCAGCTGGAGAGATGCTGGTGCCCAGCCGTGCTGCTCCTGGGGGCAGGCTGGGTAGGGGCTGAGGGGCTGGAGTGAGCGGTCCACAGTCATCCAGGAACAACAGGGCTCTCACCTGGCAGGGCTCCCAGGCACGTTGATGGAGGGAGGGTTTCCTCAGTCCTCTCCCCCAGCCCTTACTGGGCAGTACCCCCACCCACCATACTGTCTCTTGCCTGGGTCTCAGGTGGTCGGCGCTGTCTGGCCCCTGCCTCTCCCTCTGTCCCTTCAGCTGAAGCGGGCTCCACGCCATCCCAGGACTTCCCGCGCGGTCTGAAGCACAGCCACATCCGGTCTGACCGTCCCTCACCCCTCCCTCACCCCTCCCTCGCCCCCCCTCGCCCCTCCCTCGCCCCTCCCTCGCCCCCCCTCGCCACCCCAGGAGGAAATAGAGGCTGAGTGTCCGTGCCCTGCAGCCGAGCAGCCACCCTTGCCTTTGGCCCCACCTTCGCCTGCCTGGCGGCCGTCCTGTCACCTGTCATTCAGCCCTTGCTGTCTGCTGGGCACGTGCCCTGCAGGTGGGGTGCACGGCAGGCCCATGAGTGCCCACCATGCCTCGCCATTCAGGAAGCCACCCAGGTGCTCCGGGCGGTGTCAGGGCAGGGTGCGTCTGTGCGGCGTTTGCATGTGTCCACCGTCCTGACCGGGGGCAGGGCCACGTCCCACACATCTTTCTGCCTAACTTATGATGTGGCAAAGACACATCCCGATACCTCTCCCGGGTGGGCCTGTGAGCTGGGCTCTGTGACGCCAAGGCCCAGGACCTGCTCAGCCCTGGGAAGATGGAACTGGAGGGGACCTTGAGATGGCTGGCCCAGCCCCTTGTCTTATAGACAGGGAGACAGCAGAAAGGGAGATGGAGTCACCGGCCAGGACCCCAGCTATGAGTGGGAGCTGGACCAGGAGTTGAGTGTCCTGAGCCACCTCCTCCCTGTGCTGGGTCCACTCTCAGAAACACTCCAGGTCTGGAGGCAGACCTGGAGGCAGGGCAGGGCAGGGCAGGGAGGGCAGAATGGCTATGATGTGGTGAGGCTGTGTCCCCACCCAAATCTCACCTCGAATTGTAATCCCCAGGTGTTGAAGGAGGGAGGCGATTGGATCATGAGGCGGTTTCCTCCATGCTGTTCTCATGATAGCTAGTGAGTTCTCATGGGATCTGATGGTTTTATAAGGGGCTCTTCCCCCTTCGCTTGCTCTTGCTCTCTCTCTCCTGCCACCATGTGAAGAAGGTGCCTGCTTCCCCTTCAGCCATGACTGTAAGTTTCCTGAGGCCTCCCCAGCCATGCAGAACTCTGAGTCAATGAAAACTCTTTCCTTTAGAAATCACCCAGTCTCAAGTAAGTTTTTTTTTTTTTTTTTTCAGACAGAGTCTTGCTCTGTCACCCAGGCTGGAGTGCAGTGGCACCATCTCGGCTCACTGCAACCTGCGCCTCCTGGGTTCAAGCGATTCTCGTGCCTCAGTCTCCCGAGTAGCTGGGATTACAGGTGCCTGCCACCACTGCCGGCTAATTTTTGTATTTTTGGTAGAGATGGGGTTTCACCATGTTGGCCATGATGGTCTCGAACTCCTGACATCAGGTGATCCACCCACCTCGGCCTCCCAAAGTGCTGGGATTACAGGCGTGAGCCACCGCACCCAGCCAGAAGTTCTTTATAGCAGTGGGAAAATGGACGAATCCAGGCTTGCATCAGTGTTCCGGGGCAGCCCAACAAAGTACCACAAAATGAGGGGCTTAAACCATAGACATGTGCTCTGTCGTGGCTCTGGAGGCCAGAAGTCTGAACTCCAGGTGTGGGTGGAGCCGCGCCCCCTCTGAGATTCTAGGAGAGTTCCCTTCCTCGCTTCTGCCAGCTGCTGGTGGGTGCCGGAAGCCTTGGAACTCTGATCTGTGGCAGCCTCACTCCTACCTCTGCCTCCGTGTTTACACGACCTCTCTGTGTGTGTGCGTCCAAATTTCTCTCTTCTTACAGGGTCGCCAGTCATTAGATGAGGGCCCACCTTCTCCAGTGTGACCTCATCTTAGCCTCATTACATCTGCAAAGACCCCACTTCCAAATAAGATCACATCCGTAGGTTTTGAGGTTAGGACTTGAAGACATCGCTTTGGGGGACACAGTTCCACCCAATGCAGGTCCTTGGTGAGCCAGGTAGAATGAGCTGGTGGTGTGGGCAGTGGCTTGAGAGAGCCGCTATGCCAGTAGCTTTGTGGAAGTTTCGGGGCCGTGGTTTCTCTGAGACCGTTTACATAGGTTCTCAGTAGGGGCTGGAAGAGGCTGTGGGCGTTTGTGTCAGGGTGACTGGGTGGAGGTGGCCGGTCTGCATGCCGGTTCATCAAGGGGAGGATGTCCCATGGATCAGGGGCCAGAATGGAGCCAGCTGCCTCCCTCCGGCTCCCAGAGCCACCCCAGGCCATGCACAACTTTGAGCCCTCAGAGGTCCAGTTCCTCGGTCGGTCTTTCCTCAGCTTCCTCCTCTGTAGGCCATGGAGCTGACCATCCTGCCTCTGGCAGCTGTGGTGCTGTTTAGGGGAACGGTCATTGCCTTCATCTCCATTTTATAGTTGGGGAAACTGAGGCTCAGAGGAACGAAAACTCTGGGTAGGAGCACAGAAAGAGCAGAGCATGGGCGGTGGACAAAGAGTCGCCGTCCCTGACAGTCTCGCGGTCGGACCTTGGTCACGTGTGGTCTGGGGCTCTCGCCTCCTCCCAGCTCTGAGGTTCTCTGCATGAACTCCAAGGAAACAGCCTGTTCTGGGATGGCAGGAGCTGGTGGACTTCCAAGTTAGAAACACAAAGATGCCATGAGCTTAGGGTTCTGGAAGGCCCTGGGGTGTCCGCTAGGTGTAAGGTGCTGGTGGCCCTGGTCAAACAACCCCTAAGGGTGGGCAGAGTGGGGGGCAGGTGGGAAAAACAGATTGACACTCCCAGATTGGACTCCAGGTGACGGCCTGCTGGTGCCCACCTGGCTAGAACTTTCTATTCCTTTTTGTCCAGGTCTCATGGAACAAGGAAATCAAAAAAACACCCGCCCGTGCACAAATGGATTTCCTGAACCCTTCTGTGCGCCAGTCCTTGGGGACGCAAATGTGAATGAGGCGGCGCTCTGTTGAATTTCCGTGCCCAAACTCACCAACGTGCACAGATACTGATGTGGGAACACCCGCTATAAGGTGGCCTGGAGCAGTGAAGACCCTGCTCTCTTGTGAACTCCCGCAACCATGGCCAGCCCCCTGGGGCTCCCAGACCTTGGCAGTCAGCCCTTGTGGTTTTTAAAAAATTTATTTTTATTTTTATTTTTAGAGGCAGGGTCTCATTATGTCACCCAGTGATATGGTCTGGCTGTGTCCCCACCCAAATCTCATCTTTTATTTTTTTTTTTTTTGAGACGGAGTTTCGCTCTTGTTGCCCAGGCTGGAGTGCAGTGGTGCAATCTCGGCTCACCGCAACCTCCACTTCCAGGGTTCAAGCGATTCCCCTGCTTCAGCCTCCCGAGTAGCTGGGATTAAGGGCGCAGACCACCATGTCTGGATAATTTTTTTTGTATTTTTAATAGAGATGGGGTTTCATCATGTTGGCCAGGCTGGTCTTGAACTCCTGACCTCAGGTGATCCACCCACTTCGGCCTCCCAAAGTGCTGGGATTATAGGTGTGAGCCACCGTGCCCAGCCCCAAATCTCATCTTGAATTGTACTCCCATAATTCCCACATGTTGTGGGAGGGACCCAGTGGGAGATAATTGAATCATAGGGGTGGTTTCCCCTGTACTGTTCTTGTGGTAGTGAATAAGTCTCATGAGATCTGATGGTTTTAGAAGAGCTTTCCGCATTCTCTCTTGCAGCTGCCGTGTGAGATGTGCCTTCTGTCATGATTGTGAGGCCTCCCCAGTGAGCCCATTAAACCTCTTTTTCTTCCCAGTCTTGAGTATGTCTTTATCTGAAGCATGAAAACGGACTAATATACCCAGGTTGGAGTGCAGTGGCGCCATCTTGACTTACTGCAGCCTTGACCTCCAGCTTTCAAACGATCCTCCTCCCTTGGCCTCCCAAAGTGTTGGGGTCACAGGTGTGAACCACCATGTCCAGCCAGCCCTTGGGTTTTGAGATGCTCAAGTTACAGGTGAGAAGTGCTTTGTTTGTTCCGGAATCTGTGTCCTGAGAGGGTTAAAGACAAGGGCTGGCCAGCCCCTAGAACCTGGCCGTGTCACCAGGGGAGCTGTGGAAGCAGGAGGGAAGCAGGAGGGAGGCAGCAGTTCTGTGCCGTGGGGCACCTTGGGCTTTTCTTTTTTCTTTCTAATAGAGAAGCAACATTTTGAATAAATCCACAAAAGCGTAGAAGATCATCTCATCGGTTTCTGTGTGTGAAGTTTCATGCTTATCTAACTGCATTTAGGAAAATTCACGTGTACATTTTTCCCAAGGGGAGCGAGAGGATGTGAGCGTTCTACTTGTTCATTTCATATCTGCTTTTACAAATTCATAGGGAGGGTGAGGAAGGAGCTGTGGTTCTCATTGCGACTGATGTTTGATTATTTGATTCAGGAATTTCACTTCTGGGAACTTGACTTAGGGAAATGCTCTCAGAGACGCGTGCGATGTTGTTTGTAACAAGCACATGTGGAGATGTCCCGGGCCCCTCATGAGGCGGCTGCTTGTGTCCGTTTGTACCTCTTGCCAGCTGTGCAGTGTCGCTCAGCTCCCAGAAGGAGGGAGGCAGGTCCAGGCATTGATGGTTAGTTTTGTTTTTTTTTTTGAGAAGGAGTCTCCCTCTGTCACCCAGGCTGGAGAGCAGTGGCACGATCTCAGCTCAACTGCAACCTCCACCTCTCAGGTTCAAGCGATTCTCCTGCCTCAGCCTCTTGAGTAGCTGGGATTACAGGCATGCACCACCATGCCTGGCTAATTTTTGTATTTTTAGTAGAGACAGGGTTTCGCTGTGTTGGCCAGGCTGGTCTCGAACTCCTGACCTCAAGTGATCCACCCGCCTTGGCCTCCCAAAGTGCTGGGATTACAGGCATGAGCCACCGCGCCCAGCTGATGATTAGTTTTATCCATGTTCTTCCTGCTGCAGCTCACCCAGAGGCCCTGGTGGGGCAAGAACTTGGCTGGCCAGGGTTGGAGCAAAAACACCAGCCTTGGCTGTGGGTGAGGCAGGAGTGTGGCCGTGCAGGTGTGGCTTCCTCGCCGCATCTCCAGGGCGCTTTCCCTGTCCTGTGAGCTCCTTGAGGGCCGAACCTGGGCCTGTCAGTTCTGGGCTACCTCCACTTCCCAGCAGGCCCTCAAGAAGGGTTCCCTAGATGTGGTCTATTCCCACGGGAGACTATCATTCAGCCGTCGAAAGGAAGGGAATTCTGATGCAGGCTAGACAGGAATGAGGACATTAGGCTGAGTCAAAGAGGCCAGTCACAGACGCACAAGTACGGTGACCTCCCCTTTGATGAGGCCCTGGAGGAGTCAGATTCACAGAGACAGAAAGCAGAATGGTGGCACCGGGGCTGGGGGATGGGGAACGGGGGCGGAGTGTTGAACGGGGACAGAGTTTGCTTTGCACGATGAAGAGTTCTGTGGCTGGATGTCAGGGATGGTTGCACAAGACTGGAATGTACTTGATGCCACTGAACTGTGCACTTAAAAATGGTCATGATGGTAAATTTTACGTTATACATGTTTCACCATAGTTCGAAAAATACTTTAAAAAAAGCACCATGTCCCTTGGATTTAGTGATACCGACCCCTCTTTGTCCCTCTGCTTCCCAGTGGTTTCTTCTTGCCCCTGGGATTTGTAGGGATGGGTTGCCCCTCCACACCTGTGGGTGTTTCTCGTAAGGTGGGACGAGAGATTTGGAAAAGAAAAAGACACAGAGACAAAGTATAGAGAAAGAAATAAGGGGACCCGGGGAACCAGCGTTCAGCATATGGAGGATCCCGCCAGCCTCTGAGTTCCCTTAGTATTTATTCATCATTTGTGGGTGTTTCTCGAAGAGGGGGATGTGTCAGGGTCACAAGACAATTGTGGGGAGAGGGTCAGCAGACAAACACGTGAACAAAGGTCTTTGCATCATAGACAAGGTAAAGGATTAAGTGCTGTGCTTTTAGATATGCATACACATAAACATCTCAATGCTTTACAAAGCAGTATTGCTGCCCGCAGGTCCCACCTCCAGCCCTAAGGCGGTTTTTCCCTATCTCAGTAGATGGAGCATACAATCGGGTTTTATACCGAGACATTCCATTGCCCAGGGACGGGCAGGAGACAGATGCCTTCCTCTTGTCTCAACTGCAAGAGGCGTTCCTTCCTCTTTTACTAATCCTCCTCAGCACAGACCCTTTATGGGTGTCGGGCTGGGGGACGGTCAGGTCTTTCCCTTCCCACGAGGCCATATCTCAGACTATCACATGGGGAGAAACCTTGGACAATACCTGGCTTTCCTAGGCAGAGGTCCCTGCGGCCTTCCGCAGTTTTTGTGTCCCTGGGTACTTGAGATTAGGGAGTGGTGATGACTCTTAAGGAGCATGCTGCCTTCAAGCATCTGTTTAACAAAGCACATCTGGCACCGCCCTTAATCCATTCAACTCTGAGTTGACACAGCACATGTTTCAGAGAGCACGGGGTTGGGGGTAAGGTCACAGAATCTCAAGGCAGAAGAATTTTTCTTAGTACATAACAAAATGGAGTCTCCTATGTCTACTTCTTTCTACACAGACACAGTAACAATCTGATCTTTCTTGCTTTTCCCCACAGGATTTAACAACAAATCCTAATGCACGTGGGGGCCAGCGGCAGTGACTGTAGTCCCCTTGGCAGGCGAAGGCCTGTGAGTAGCCAGTGCTATGTCTGGCATTCTAGGCAGCTCCTGGCTCCCGGGCGGATCCTCCTGTTGCCTGCTGGGCCAGCCTCAGGTCGGCCCTTCCAGCTCTGTAAAACTCAGAAGGCCTTTAGGGCAGGCACTGTGCCACTGACCCCCTCTCTGTGTCCCAGGGCCCGGTACAATGAGATGATCATGGAATTAAACAGAACAGAACCATGAGGTGTCCACCAGGCCATGCCAGGATGCACTGGCTTCACCTGTGATTTTGGCACCAGTTTAAACAGTGTCACTTCATTCTGTGCTTCTCCTGATTAGTCTGCCTTCTGGCCGATATATCCCTGGGAGGCAGGTGCAGACCCCTCTTGACTATGTACTGTGTGCAGTTTTGGGGACAGAGCTCTTTATGTGGCCAAGGTCTGGCTGGGCAAGGTGTCTCATACCTGTAATCCCAGCACTTTGGGAGGCTGAGGCCAGAGGACTGCTTGAGGCCAGGAGTTTGAGAACAGCCTGGGCAACATAGCAAGACCCCATCTCTACAAAAAATAAATAAAAATTAGCCAAGTGCGCCTGTGGTCTAGCTACTCCAGAGGCTGAAATGGGAGGATCACTTGGGCCCAGGAGGTTAAGGCTGCAGTGAACTGTGATAGCACCACTGCACTCCAGCCTGGGCAACAGAGTGAGACCCTGTCGCAAAAAAAAAAAAAAAAAAAAAAAAAAGGGGCCAAGGTCCTTTCCCAGGACGTCAGGACGAATGTATGGAGCAGCAGCAGGGGTCTCAACGAGTGCCGCGCCGTTTCCAGCCGTGCGCACGTCCCTGTGGCTGCCGCAAGGAACAGAACGACTTGGTCATCTTGCAGTGGAAGTCAGAAGCCTGAAGTGGGTCCCGCTGGGTGATAATCAAAGTGCCAGCTGGCCTGCGTTGCTTCTGAAGCCTCTAGGAGAGAATCCACCTCCTTGCCTCTTCCAGCTTTTAGAGGCCGCCCTGTTCTGTCATAACTCAAGGCCCTGCATATGGCACAGGTGTGACTGTTCGCGCCCGCAGCTCCTTCACCAACCCTCCTGCCACCCTCCTTCCCTGCTTTCCTGTAAGGACCCCTGTGGTGACGTCAGGGCCACCTGGGTATCCAGAAGCATCTCCCCAGCTCGTGATCCCTCACTTAATCCCATCTCCAGCTGCCTTTTGCAGAGTAATGTGCACATTCATGGGTGCTGGGGACGGGGACATGGACATCTTGGGGTCGGGGTCATTATTCTGCCCACCACAGCCAACAATTACAATCAATGGGGATGAGAACTGGAAATGGTCCTGTATGATTCTCTTGCTGCCAGGCTTGAGAGCCAGCCAGGAGCACGCTGGGGGCCGAGCGTGGGAACGTGCCACATGTGACGGTGCTCCCACGGCTCAGCGCTGCTTCCAGACACAGTCCTACTAGTTGGAGCCTATTTTGGCCACAGCTCTCACCTGCGTTTTGGTGGTGGGAGGGGTGTTTCTGGGTTCCAGGTGAAGTTGGTTACACCTCCTGGGTGTTCAGGCATCAATGTTCACCTTCATCAAACGTTTAAAAAATTGTGGTTAGGCTGGGTGCAGAGGTCCATGCCTGTAATCCCAGCACTTCGAGAGGCTAAGGGGGGGTGGATCGCTTGAGGTCAGGAGTTTGAGACCAGCCTGGGCAACATGGCAAAACTACATCTCTACCAAAAATACAAAAATTAGCTGGGTGTGGTGGCGCGTGCCTGTAATCCCAGCACTTTGGGAAGCCAAGGCAGGTGGATCACCTGAGGTCAGGAGTTTGAGAACAGCCTAGGCAACGTGGCAAAACCCTGTCTCTACTAAAAATACAAAAATTAGCTGGGCGTGTTGGCACACGCCTGTAGTCCCAGCTACTTGGGAGGCTGAGGCAGGAGAATTGCTTGAACCTGGGAGGCAGAGGTTGCAGTAAACCGAGACAGTGCCACTGCACTCCAGCCTGGGTGACAGAGTGAAACTCCGTCTCAAAATAAATAAATAAATAAATTAGCTGGGCATGGTGGTGCACGTCTGTAATCCTAGCTACTCAGGAGGCTGAGGTGGAAGAATTGCTGGAATCTGGGAGGCGGAGGTTGCAGTGAGCTGCGATCACACCACTGCACTCCAGCTTGGGCAACAGAGTGAAACTCTGTCTCAAAAAAAAAAAGTGGTTAAATATATGTAACATAAAGGTTGCCATTTTAACCATTTCCAAGTGTACAGTTCTGTGGCATTAAGTACATTCACACCGTTTGCGACCATCACCGCCACGTCACGGTCAGTTTATGTTATCTTGATTAGGTGCCAGTCCCCAGGGACTCAAACATGAGGCAAAGTGTTGCTGTGAAGGTGTTTTGTGCGTGCGATTAACATCTACAATCCGTCCACCTTGAGTAAAGGAGGTGATCCTGAATGACATGGGTGGGCCTTGTTCAAACAGTCAAAGGCCTGAAGAGCAAAAATGAGGTTTCCTGAGAAGAAGAAATTCTGCCTCAAAACTGCAACTCCAATTCCTTCCTGAGTTTTCAGCCTGCTGGCTCATCTATCAATGTTGGATTTGCCAGCCACCACTATTGATATCGATATCTATATGTATTTCTTAATATCTATATTTATATATCTTATTGGCTCTGTTCCTCCCTGCCTGTCACACAGTCTGTCTGCTTGCCAGTCTCTCCTATGGGAATGTAGCCCCCTGAAGTCAGGAACTGTCTTTTTTATAGCTGTATCCAGTCAGCTAGTGTGGCACACAGTAGGTGCTTAATAAAAACATAGCTACTTTCTAATTGCTCTGGCGCTCACATGGAAGTGGCTTGAACAGTAGACGCATGGGAGAGAGCTGTTCCTGGCATCCTGATGGCCTGGTGTGCATCTCGGGTAATTCATACAGTATCTTACGTTTGCCCTCTCCTTATTAATGTCACCCAGCCCTACCTATTCTAGGCAGCTGCGTTCACTCTGGTGAAGGGGATAAGTTCTCTGGGAACCTTCATTTGCTGAGTCAGTGTGGCCACCTAGGGTTTCTGCTTGGATGTGTTCCTGACACATCCGCCCCGGTCTCCAGCCCTGGGTGGACAGCTCTGCGTAAGTGTTCCCATTGCTCCTAGGAATTCGCTCTAGTCTCAGACCCAACACATTCATCCATCCATCCATCCATCCATCCATCCATTCAACAATCTGTGTTCAATGCCTCTTCCCATTTAGCACTGGGGATACAGTGGTGAACAAAAGAGATGACAATTCCTGCCCTCATGGAGCTTACCTTCTAGTAGAGAAGGCAGACCATACACAAGATAAATAAGGGGACTATACTGAATGTTAGAGAATAACGTGTGTTCAGGAGGAAAAGAACTGCCAGAGGAGAGGAGGGCGTGAGATGTGTGGAAGTCCTCATGCATTGGTCAGCTCTTGTTATGGTAATGCTACATAACAAACACCCCTAAGTTCCAGTGGCTTCCACCCATTCTCTTGGGTCTATGGTTTGCTTGGGTGGTTCTGCCTCAGGCATTGGGTTGGGTTAGGGCCACTCCATGTGTTACCCTTCTGAGGTTCAGACAGAGGGAACAGCGTCTATGTGGGCACAGCCTTCTCATGGCGCAGGGCTCAACCATGCACGCACATTGAATGCCTTCAGCCGGACATGGCCAAAGTTATGTCTGCTCACACTCCATTGCCCAAAGCAAGTCACAAGTCGCAACAAGTCAGAAGGCTGGGGACACACACTCTGCCCATAGCGAGCCATGGCAGAGTCACTCACAAGGTGGGCGCTGTGGTTCGAATGCTTCTCTCAAGAAGCATGTGTTGGAAACTTATTCCCCAAGGCCACAGTGTTGGGAGGCGGGCCTAATGGGAGGTGATTCGGCCCTGGGGTGACTAGGCGAGAGGCGGGGCCCTCATGAATGGATGAATGCTATAATCGCTAGAATACGTTTGTTATCGTGAATCTGGGCTCCTTACGAAAGGGTGCGTTGGGTCCCCCCTCTCTTTGCTCTTCCACCTGCTGCTGCGGGATGACACAGCAGGAAGTCCCACCTGCCAACTTCTCAGCCTCCAGAACTGGGAGGAAATAAAGTTCTGTTCTTTATAAAGTGTGTAGTCTGCGGTATTCTGTTATAGCAGCACAAAATGGATTACGACAGCGGGTTTTCGGTACAGACCTCAAGGAAATTAGTGCACCAGCCATGCAGAGAACTGCAGGAAGAGCTCTCTGAGGTGGGAACAGGCCATGCAAAGGCCCTGAGGTAGGAGGGCACATGCGCCTCGGAGAACCCCAAGGGGCCAGCATGGTAGGAGCATTGGGAACAAGGGGAGGCTGGGGCTAGGTCTGTAAGGCACTGCGGGTCACCGTAAAGAATTTGACTTTTCCCCTGGGTAAGAAGGGAAATCAGGCAAGATGTGGAGTCCAGGAGGGGCCTGATGCAATCCTCGTTTTAGGAATTGCCCCAGCTGCTGGGTGGAGAATAGACTTGGAGGCAAAGCCATAAATGGGAACCCAGGGAGGCACGAACGGCAACCATCCAGGCAGAGGACAGTGCTGTCTTGGATCGAGGTGGTGGGGTGGTGAGGAATGGGTAAAGTCTGGACAGTTTTTGCAGGTAGAGGTGACAGAATTTGCTGATAAATCAGGGATGGGGCGTGTCTCAGTCCGCTTGGGCTGCCGTACAAGATACCACAGACTGAGTGATTTAAATAACAGAAATTTATTATCTCAGTTCTAGAGGCTGGAAGTCTGAGATGAAAGTGTCAGAAGGGCTGGCTCTTCCTGAGGCCTCTCTCTGTGGTTTGCGGACAGCCACCTTCTCCCTGTGTCCTCACAGGGCCTTTCCTCTGGGCACACACATCCCTGGTGTCTCTTTCTCTTTTCTTATAAGGACGCCAGTCCTATTGGATTAGAGCCCCCTGCTTATGACCTAATGTAATGTTGATTACCTCCTCCTATCTCCAAATACAGTCACACTGGGGTTAGGGCTGTAGTAACTCTTGCCTGTAATCCCAGCTACTAGGGAGGCCCAGGCACGAGGATCACTTCAGCCCAGGAGTTCAAGTCTAGCCTGGGCAACATAGTGAGAGGCCGTTTCCTAAAAAAAAAAAAAGGGTTTTTTCGTTTTTGTTTTTGTTTTTTTTTTTTTTTCGAGAAGGAGTCTTGCTCTGTTGCCCAGGCTGGAGTGCAGTTTCTCAATCTCGGCTCACTGCAACTTCCGCCTCCTGGGGTTCAAGCGATCCTCTTGCCTCAGCCTCCTGAGTAGCTGGGATTACAGGTGCCGGCCACCACACCCGGCTAATTTTTGTGTTTTTAGTGGAGACAGGGTTTCGCCATGTTGGCCGGGCTGGTCTCAAACTCCTGACCTCATGTGATCCACCCGCCTCGGCCTTCCAAAGTGCTGGGATTACAAGTGTAAGCCACTGCGCCCGGCCAAGAGTGAAGTTCTGATAGCTGGGGTAAGAAAGGCCGTGGGAACAGCCGGTTTCAGACACGCTGGGTCTAAGACGCTGCGTCTGGCGCTGCTCGGCATCCAATGGGAGCCGTGGAGAAGCCAGGCGAGTGCGTAGGGCGGAGCCAGCGCACAGGAAATAGGACGTGATGAGGTCAACCGGCTGGTCCAAGTGTGGACGGAAGTAGAGGATGCAAGCACCGAGCCCCGGGGCCCCCAGCATTGGCGGGGAGGAGCTCGCGGTGCGGGAGAAGCAGGGGACCGCGCATCCTGGAGACCAGGTGGAGCCAGTGCGCCCGGAAGGGGCGTGGCCCGCTGACAGCCGCCCAGGAGGCCGGGGGAGGCCTGGAGCCGAGGGCCGCGCGTGGCAATGTGGAGAGACATTTTGGTGGAGTCATGGGGCCACAGCCTGATTGGTGAGAACAGGAAGGGAAATTGCAGATGGGCCTGGGCCCCCTGGCTCCCGCATACTCCAGGACCAGGGCTGAGTCATCGTTCACCGTGTGTGACCAGGGCCCCGTGTGGCCGGCTGTCACTCGGTATCCAGTTACCCTGGGCAGACCACTGGCGGCACCCCCCAGCCAGAGGCCGCAGCAACACACACGCCTGCAGGCGACCAGGCCGGACTGCATGCCCCGTGGGGGAACTGAGGGCGTTTCAGTAACAGAGTGTTAGGGGACACGGGTTGGGTGGCTTGGAAAGGGCCTAAGGTGGGGTTTGTTTTAGATTGGGGTGGTGAGGGCGCAGGGGCCCGGTAGGATTCTCTAACAGGGCAGCAGCCACTCATTTAGCAACAGGAGAGGCGTCCAGCGTTTCGTGGGCTGTGCGGTGACCTTGCTTTTGTGCTTAGACACGATTACGGGTGGCCTTGCTTCATCTCCTTCTGCCATGGTCTCGTGGCCCCTGTCTCAGCTGGCGTTCCGGGAGGTTGTTTACGTCCAGGAGGAAAGCAAAAGCCTGGCCCTGAGCATCAGGGTGGCTCTGGACGCCAGGGCTGTACTGTGTTCTTTCTCGACACGAATGAGTTTCTGGACAGTTTTCCCGGCTAGTGCAGACCCACACTGACTGAAAACCGAAATCTTTGCACATGAGAAAAATAACTCCCATGGCAAGGCGTGGCGGCTCACACCTGTAATCTCAGTGCTTTGGGAGGCCAAGGCAGGAAGATCGCTTGAGGCCAGGAGTTCGAGGCCAGCCTGGGCAACATAAGGATACCCTGTCTGTACAAAAATAACAGATTAAAAAAAAAAAACAAAATAACACCCATGGTGCAGCCATTTCTTGGGGGGTTATGGTAATTTTAGTAGCAATCATCTAAGAAGAGGTTTTGTTTCCTCAACCCGAATGCGCTCCCTTTCCTCAAGGCTCTGAGAGCAGCAGGAAGGCTCACCTTCCTTGTTTAGTGAGGTGTTAACCTTCCTGGGTTCACCCCGGTGCAACGGTTTGTGTCATGCATCAACTTGGCTGGGCCACGGCGCCCGGTTTGGTCAAACGCCCATCTGGATGTTGTCGTGGACAGCTGTGTAGATGTGATTCGTATTTAGGTCAGTAGACTTTTAAAGCTGGTGACCTTCCGTCGTGTGGGTGGGTCTTGTCCGGTCAGCCAGAGGCCTTAAGTTCAAAGACTAAGCTTTCCTGAAGAAGAAGGAATTGCACCTCCCTCAAGACTGCAATACAGAAACCCTGCCTGGGTATCCAGCATGCCGCCCTGCAGAACTTGGACTTGAGACCTCAGTCAGCTCTTGCCTGAGTCTCCAGCCTGCCGCCTGCCCTGCAGATTTTGGAAGTGACAACCCCCACAATTGCCCGAGCCAATTTCTTCAAATAAATCTCTTTCCCTCCATCCATCCATTCATCCTTCTGTCCACCTATCCTATCGGCTCTGTTCTGTGGGTTCTGTTCCTCTGGGAACCCTGACAGATGCCCCTGGTTTGGTGGGTGTCATGGTCTCTGGTGCTGGTGCTACACCCTGTTGCTGCCCTGGCCAGAAGCCTGCAGGTGCCTCTGAGCCCACGGAAGCTAAGGGGGCCGTTTCCAAGGGGCCGCATTCCCCGCCTCTCTGCTCTTGGGGCTTCGGTCCATTCGGCCCGCGTGAGAGCTAGGAGTGCCACAGTCGACATCCTCAGTGGGATTGGTACCAGTTGCCTACACCAGCAACCCTCTCATGGAGGAGCCTTCGGTGGCTTTGCTCCTTACCCCACCTCCTGCCCCCTCACTCACTCCTGCTTCCCAGGTCACCTTCCAAAGGCCCCACACCTGCCTTCTCCTCTCCATCCCCCGAGGTGGGGAGCCAACACCCCCCCAGCAGCCCACCTCCCTGCTTTCCCTTGGAAGCACTGCTCTCCAGGTGTCCACAGGCAGCAGGGGTTGGGGGGCTCCTTAGCGCCTTCGCCTTGACCAGGCACGTGGAGTCATGGATCCAGATCCTGGCTCTGAGAGCGCCTGCTTCTGACTGCAGGCCTGGCCGACCCGTGTCATTGCCCCTCGAGGCAGGGCGGAACCTCTGGGTGGGGAAAGGTGGGCCGTGCTGCTCAGGAACCAAAGGCAAACCAGCCTTGTCCTCACGCCCAGAGCTGTGTCCAGCCTCCTCGGCGAGCCTGGGTTGATTCCAGGAGAGACTAAGCACCCACTGTGTCCCACGCCTTCAGCCACGTCGCCCGTCACCTGCGGCCTGAGTGTTCCCTTCCAGAGGGCGTGAAAAACAATTGTCTGCTGAGAGGTCTTTGAAGGGGAAACAAGTGCCCGGGGCAGGCCAGGACCGCAGACTGGATCTTGAGGACTGGCAGCGCAGTGTTTTGTGCAGAAAAGCTAAGGGAGATGTTACGTGCTCAGACCACACGAAGCGGGCAGCATCGTGGCGGGCTTAGCCCGGGCACTGCCTCTCGAAGCTTCCAGGAGCTTCCTGTAACTTTCCGGATGGTGCCGCAGCTGCTTCCCCGGCACCCGGGTCGCCGGGGTTCTGACTGCAGAGGGTTTCTGTGCGGGGTGCGGGGTCCACTCAGGTGAAGCACTCAGGACACCCCTGGTGTGGTGACAGCAGCAGCGTCACTGTCACGGGTGATGCGGCAACAGCTCCTCTCCCTCCTCCAGCACTGGCCTAGGAACTGTTCATTCTTCTGAACACAGCGAATGCCCAGGGCTTGAGCCCCCCTTGCCTGCCTCCAGTCATTTCTGGGTCAGGTGGGCTAAGAACAAACACACAGTGAGTGTCGAGTCTTGCCCGGTGACTGACTGCAGAAGCCTCTGTGTGGCTTCGCTCCCGGATGTCTGAAGGCCCCTCCCTGGGCTGCACGGCGGCTCCTGCGGGGCACTGCGGGAAGAGCCCCAGCTCTCCAGCTAAACCTGTGGGATGCGGCCATGGTGAGAAAAGGAAACGACCATCTTCACGCTGACACTGAGCAAAGAAAAGATAAAACTCATAGCAAATTTACCATGTTAGATTTACAAACGTTAGCAGTGGAATAAATCCAGAGGAAAGAACAAAAGAAAGATTCGAGACCAGCCTGGCCAGCAGGGTGAAACCCCATCTTTACTAAAAATACAAAAAGTAGCCGGGCATGGTGGCGAGCACCTGCAATCCCAGCTACTCAGGAGGCTGAGCCAGGAGAATTGCTTGAACCCGGGAGGTGGAGGTTGCAGTGAGCTGAGATTGTATCACTGCACTCCAGCCTGGGTGACAGAGGGAGACTCCATGTCAAAAAAAAAAAAAGAAGATATGAGTAGAAATGAATGAAATAAAAAACGACATACTGTAGAGAGGATCAACGAAGCCAAAATCTAATAAAATTGATAAACCGCCCCAATTAATCACGAAAAAGGTGGAGACAAATAAACAAGAGGGATGAGAAAAAAAAAAACAAAATGCCCACCACGCTCGTGAGGCCGGAGATCACCGAGGAATCCGAGCACCCGGGGGACGCTGCATGCCCGTGAGTGTGATACCTACACAAAGGAGGATTTTCTAAAAACCAGAAGTCCTATGGCCATTAAAAAATGGAATCAGTAGGAAAAAAAAAAGCCCCAAAGAGAAAGTAACATTCCTAGATGTTAACTGGTGAGTTTCTACCAACAAGTAAGAACAGTTTCAGTTTTATAGAAATTCTCCCAAAGAAAAGAAAATTAGAAAACATGCTTCCCTCACCTCCCGTTTTATTTGTTTATTTTTATTTGAGACAGGGTCTGGTTCTGTTGCCCAGGCTGGAGTGCAGTGGTGCAATCTCTGCTCACTGTAACCTCTGCCTGCTGGGCTCAAGTCATCGTCCCACCTCGGCCTCCTGAGTAGCTGGGATTACAGGTGCGTGCCATCACATCCATCTAATTTTTGTATTTTTTTGTAAAGGCAGGGTTTTGCCATGTTGCCTTGGCTGGTCTCAAGCTTCTGAGCTCAAGCCATCCACCCTCCTCAGCCTCCCAAAGCACTGGGATTACAGGGGTGAGCCGCTGCGCCCAGCCCACCCCCCGTTTTATAAGGTGGTTATAACGTTGGTATCAAAACCGGATAAGCACAATACAAGAGAGAGCTACAGGCCAGCTGCATTCAGAGCACAGGTGGAAAATCCTAAACGTAACAGAGCTGAACCCATCGTCCCATCTAGCGCTCCTGGGAGGCAAGCCTGGGCTGGGGTGCCCCCACCCATCCTGGTGAGAGCCTCGGGCTGAGCTGCCTTGATCCCAAGGGTTCTGCTTCCCCATGGTTCCCCGAAGGGCCCAGAAAGACACGTCAGAAAGTTGGGGACGGGGTGAGGGAGGCCATCATCCTTTGGAGCAGATTTGGCCACCTGGAGATGAGAAGAGCCAGTTCTGCAAAGTACCCTCCCTCCCTTCCTCACCTCCCTTTCACTTCCCTGGGGTGGTACCTCCCAACAAAACATCTGCACCTAGACGCTCCCCAGGCCCCCTCTTCTTGGAAACCTGGGCTAAGACAGTAACTAAGCTGGGTTGGTTCCAATCATGTGAGATTGGTTTAGCATTAGACAACTGATTCATAAAGTTCTTTGTATTAACATATCAAAAGAGGAAAAGACGTATGACCTTTTCAGGAACGCAGAAGCAATTTCAGAAAAAATGATACCTACGTAACAACCAGAGCAGTGAGCAGATTCTTTTTAGGTCATGATGCAAACACATCAACTGTAAAAGAACATATTTGAGACAATCAGGGTTATCTGATGAGGGACTAGGTTTTAGATGACATCGAGAAATTGTTAGGAATCCTGTCAAACGTGAGAGGGAATTTGCGCTTATAGAAAGAAATGTTCGATTTGTAGGAGAGGTACCTGAAGTGCGCGGGGGTGAAATGACGTGGCGTCTGTGCTTTGCTTTAAAATACTCCAGTAAAGAAAAAAACCAAGAGAAGCGGGAAGCAGGGCAAAATCCTCCTAATTGTTGGATCTGGCTGAGGAGTATGTGAAGGGCTCATTGTTCCATGGTCTCTACTTTTGAGACTGTGTAAAAATTTTCATGATAAAAATAAACTCAATGAAGTAGCATTTGCCGCCACCGTAAAAGTAATACCCCGTGATGGGCGCACCAGGTGCTGGCCCGCAGGGGGAGGGCGGGACGTCACTGGCTCTGTCCCCGTCACCCATGACCTGCACGTCCTGGCAGTGGTGAGCGCCCAGTGTGTGCTGTGGGACAGAATTATCTCTAAACCCCCGAAAGAGGATCCTCTCCCCAACTTAACTCCAGCCTCGGAGGGCCTCGGGGGTCTATGGCACACTCTCCCTGCTGGCTTTGTTCTGGAAAGGGCTGGCGGGACATGACCGGCCCCACGTTGCACTCTGAGGGCAGCTCGGGGGTCTGCAGGGGACCATCCTGTGTAACCTGCTGACCTCGAGGAGAAGCAGGGCGAGGGCTTAGCTCAGGCACATTCCCCGCTGAGCCACAACAATGCCCCATCCGCCCTACACAGGCGGATTTGTGTGTGAGCCCCGCGGGGCCCTGGAGTGGAAAATTGCAGCGCCAGCCTTTGTGGGGCAGACTGCTGGCGTTACGGGAATCCTGTAGATGAAGTGAATGTGGCCTTTGTGTGAGGGGCTGGCATTGAGCTCGGGTGCAGTGGGGCGGCAAATCGCTGAGGACAGGCTTAAGCTGGGCCGCGGAAACAATGCCGGGGAGCCACGGAGGAGCCATCGCAGAGGCCGGGAAAAACCTCCCGACAGGGCTCGATCTGTAGAGATATTTGAGAAAAATGATCTCCGAGACAGTGGCTTACACACCCCCACGCATACACACCACGGACACACACCACACACATCACACACACACCATACACTATAGATATACCACACACACACCCCACCACCTATACAACACACACCACACACACACCATACACTATAGATGTACCACACATACACACCCCACACCACCTATACAACACACACCACACACACCACAGACACACACCACAGACACACACCACAGATATACCACACACACACCAGATACACAACATACACATCACACACACCACACAGACACACACCACAGATACTCCACACTGCACACACATCATACACCACACACACACCACACACACATCACACACATCACACACACATCACACACATCGCACACCACACGCACCACAGAAACATCACACACCACACATATACCACACACCCCACATTCCACACACCCCACACATCACATAAACACCACACACACACCACTCACATCACACACCACATATACCACACACATCACATATACAACACACACCACACACACACCCCACACATCACATATACAACACACACAGCACATACCAGACACATCACACACACACACACCACACACGGTACATTGTACACCACACACCACACACACATCACACACACGTCACAGAAACCCCACACACCACACATATACCACACACACACACCACACACGTCACAGACACACCACACACACCACACCCATCACAGAAACCCCACACACCACACGTATACCACACACACACCACACACGTCACAGAAACCCCACACACCACACACACATCACACACCACATATCCAACACACACCCCCCACACACCACACATATCAAATATACACCACACCCCCACACACGCTCCCAGACCAGTTGGAGCCCTGCCCTCGCACCCCAGATCCCGCACATCTGTCCCTCTGTTCCCTTGGCCTCCCACCCCTTCTCCACCCTCAGGAGCCCCATGCAGCCCACACTGGGTCCTGCCCAGCCCCTGGGCCGGAGGGGATGGTCCCCCTGCGCCGTCCCCAGCGCTGCCCACCCTGCAGAACGTCCTCAGGCGGCCGGGCTCCACACCTGCGACAGGCCCGAGGCCCCGGCTGCAGGCCCCACTCGGCTGCAGTTCCCGTCGAGGCAGCCAATGGCCTTGAGGCCTCTCCCAGGTGGGACGGCCCCTGCGAGGGCTGGTGGGCACAGGGGCCAGCCCTGCCCCATGGCCTTGCTCAGCTGTGGGAGGCGTGCCTTTTCTTTCTCTGATCTCTGTGAAACTCTTACTTTTTCTTCCCCGGGGCGGGGGGGTGAGGGTCGGGCCTGTGGTGGCACTGCGCTGAGCCAGGCATGCTGGGCTGGCGTCTCCCTTGCTGGGGCGCAGATGGCCTAGGTGGGGCCCGTGTGGAAGCTGCGTCCATCTGACTCTGCCGCCTGTGCGGTCTCTGCATCTGTGAGGGGGGACCCAGCAGCAGTGGCCCAGGGTGGGGCTGGGACTGAGGGTCAGGCCGGATGGAGCTGTGCGGCGGCACCTGGCCCACATTCTCCCTGCGGCCACCAAGACCCCAGGTGGGCACTGGCACCTTGGGCTATGCCCAGGTCCCCACCCTCAGCCTTCTCTGGAAGCTGCTGGCTCTGCGGTGACCCCCTCCCGCACCCCCTTAACCCAAGGCGGGTCCTTTGGGGCCCACTGGGTGCTCTGGCTGGGTCTGCCCTGGGCTGGTCACTCTCGCCAGGGTCTCGGTCCAGGGCACAGGCAGGAGTGACGGTTACTCTCCAGGAGGCCGGGAGAACCAAGAGACATCCAATGAGGAAGGGCTGCCCATGCTTAAAGATGTCCAGTGAGGAAGGGCCACCCGTGCCCAGGGACATCCAGTGAGGAAGGGCTGCCTGTGCCCAGGGTGATCATGTTTGCACAGACCCCGGTGTGCCTGCGGGGCTGAGCTGTTTGCCTACCCCCATGCCCTCCCCAGGTGGCAGGCTACAAGACCAGCCTTGTTCTTGCCCTTCCCAGCCCTGGCCTGGGAGTCAGACACTTGACTCGTAGCCTTGACTTCCGTGCCAGGCTGCCTGGAGAGGCCAGCCTCTTCCCGGAGGGGTCCTTGGGGCCTACTGGGCAGACCTCTCTCTCCACGGCCCTTCCTGTCCCTAGGCGGACCTTTCCCTGACCCAGCTCACACCAGCCTGGGGCCTGTGTGCTGGGGCCGGGCTCCTGCAGGCTGTCCCGGGCAGGCGCCAGGGGGCCCTGTGCCACTGGGCGGTGGTGTGGGAGGCACAGGAAGAAGCTTACCTCACCCTTCAGACATCCTGGGGGGTACCCTTGTTTCCTATATCATTTCAACCTTGGGGTCCCAGCATTGCTGGCGACGAGGCCGGCTGCAGGTTTTGGCTCAGAGGCAGACTGAGGGCAGCGCCAAAGGGCTCCAGGCCTCCCGAAACAGCCTCGGTCTGCTCACACTTGGAGGGCTGTCAGAGGCCACTGGACGCCAGCAAGAAGGTTGAGGAGCCCCAGGCCGGCGGTGCCCCCAAGGTATCTGACACCAGAGTGAGTCACAGTTTTGAATATTCCATCCTCCATACCGCAAAATTATTTTCAGGATAGTTATGTAATAATCACGGATAATCATGATTTTCTTGATTCATTCTTTAAAGCAATTAACAGAAAAAGAATGCATTTCAATGTTAAAGATATTCAAATTCAGTGACTTCTTTCATGCATGAGCTAACATCTCAGCTTCAGCACCACATCTCCGTTTTCGCTCTGGTTTCACAGTCTCACATTTGAAACACAGAATAAAAACACCAAGAGGTCATGCAGAATGACAGAACTGAAATACTTCCAGCTCGGTTTCTTTGTGAGTGCTGTTGTTGTTATGTGAAATTTCTCGTTTAAGCACAGAAATATGTTGAACCACGGGCTGGAGATGAGAACCCCTCCCCCAGTGCACCTGCACCCGCCCTTCAAAGCCGCTCCAAGCCAATGCAGGTGGCTGCGTCTGCAGTGTCGGGAGTGGCCCCATGACTGGAAGTTCACTGGAAAATTTCCACTCAGTAAATGTTTAGAACAAGAAATAAAACTGTGCTAATGTGAAGATTACAGAAATATAGTCTATCCTCATGACTCATGCATTCCAGATTTGGGAATTCCCTGTGATGTCAGTGTGCCAGGGACCACAGACTGGATGGCTTAAACAACAGACATTTGTTGTCTCACAGTCCTGGAGCCTGGAAGTCCAAGATCGCAGGGTCGGTGGGGCCGGTTCCTTCCTGTGCTTGCAGACGGGCCTCTTCTTGTTGTGCCCTCATGTGGACTTTCCTCTGTGTGCATGTGTTCTTGGTGTCTCTTTTTGGAATTTGTCCAGATTTCCTCCTCTTTTTTTTTTTTTTTTTTTTTTAAGACAGAGTGAGACTCTGTCGCCAGGCAGGAGTGCAGTGGTGCAATCTCGGCTCACTGCAGCCTCCGTTTTCCGGGTTCAAGTGATTCTCCTGCCTCAGCCTCCCGAGTAGCTGGGACTACAGGTGCATGCCACCATGCCTGGCTATTTTTTTGTATTTTAGTAGAGACGGGGTTTCACCATGTTGTCCAGGCTGGTCTTGAACTCCTGACCTCGTGATCCACCCGCCTCGGCCTCCCAAAGTGTTGGGATTACAGGCGTGAGCCACCGCGCCCAGCTGATTTCCTCTTCTTATAAGGATGCCAGTCACATGCATTAGGGCTCACCCAAATGACCTCCTTTTAACTTAATTTCCTGAGAGATCCTATCTCCAAATACAGTCACACTCTGAGGTCCTGGGGTTAGTACTTCAACACAGGAATTTTTTGGGAACTCAGTTCAGTCCATGACACCTACTTGGTCAAATTTATTTGTAGGCTGGGCACGGTGGCTCACGCCTGTAATCCCAGCACCTCTGGAGGCCAAGGTGGGAGGATCGCTTGAGCCTAGGAGTTCAAGACCAGCCTGGGCAACATAGCAAGCAAGACCCCGTCCCTACAAAAAAATTACCAAAAAAATTTATTTGTGACCCCAAATCAATAATTGCAGAGTTTTCCTGGTCATTCACAGATGTGTAGAGAGTGCCGAGACATTTGTCTCCTTACACATATTCCTGGGTGAGGTTGAACAAGGCAGCACTATGCCCTCTTGTTTCAGCCTCAGGCGGTCAACCAGTATCCTTTTTGAGGTCTATTTAGTGCCATGATTTTTGCATTTCGTGTGTTTTGTTTGTGATTTTGCTTTTTAAAACGTCCCCAAGCCCAGTGCTGAAGAGCTGTGTGCTTGGAGGCATTTTTAAGTAAGTGGATTAAGCACTTCAGTTAAAATGCAGAAATTGTCCAAACAGATTAAAAACATTATCTAATTATATGCTGTCTACAAGAGACACTTTAGATTCAAAGACACAAATAGTTTGAAAGTAAAAGATTTCTAAAAATATGCCATACAAATGGAAACCCAAAGACAGTTTTGGTTACTGTTTGGTTACTCTTCAGCTTTGTGCTTGGGGGCATTTTAAACAGCAAAATCACGAACAAAACACACAAAACTGCAAAAGGTAAGCAAGCTGCAGTGCATCTCACAGAGGAAACACGGGTTAGAGAAGCTTCCTTCGGGCAGAGCTACAGGGCTGCTGGCCATGAGTTCAGTGTTTAGTGAATCAATGTTTATAGATTCAGTAAAGCATCTTTTTTTTTTTTTTCTTTTTTGGAACAGAGTCTCATTCTGTTGCCCAGTCTGAAGTGCAGTGGCACGATCTCAGCTCACTGCAACCTCCACCTCCTGGGTTCAAGCGATTCTCCTGCCTCAGCCTCCCAAGTAGCTGGGATTACAGGCCTGCACCATCACGCCTGGCTAATTTTAGTATTTTTAATAGAAATGGGGTTTCACCATTTTGGCTAGGCTGATCTTGAACTCCTGGCCTCAGGTGATACACCCGCCTTGGCCTCCCAAAGTGCTGGGATTACAGGCGTGAGCCACCACGCCTGGCCTCAGTAAAGCATCTGTACACAGAAACACTCATAAGACAAATGATGCATTGCTCAGCTGATGAGAACATTGGGGCCAGAGGCTCGCAGGACCCTAAGCCTGTGTCTCCCCTGGGAGCCATGGTTCAGCAGTCCAGGCATCACTAATTCAGTGCTCACAGCAGCTTTATAGAACACCCCTACCTCTAGAAACAACTGCTATGAATGCAGCAATTGCTAGAACTTAGCCCAGCAAAAGGGGATTTTGTGCTGACATGATTTGCATGGACAGTGGCTGGGAATCAGGAAAAGAACACTGACTTGTCTTTGGTTTCATTCTGGTTTTTCATTTTCCGCAGACATCATATCCCTCAGTGCACTGGCTGTCACCTCCCCCTGCCCGCCACCTGCACACTGTGGCTTTGAGGCAGCATCTTCAACACAAATTTCAGGAGGAGCCCAGGTCCAGAGCAAAAGGGTCTTGTTTCCCCAGAATCCAGGCGAATGGCGCAGGGCTCTGGCAGGCGGATGCACTGACATCAGCGTGCATTTACTTGTTTGTTGCTTGTCTCTACCCAAGAGAATATCAGCTCCAGAAAAGCAGGGACTTTGTTTAACACAGCGTTAAGAGACAGGACTCGACCAGTGTGGATCAATTAAGTGAGGATGTTTGCACAGCAGGCTCCGGGCCAGCGAGTGGGGGTTAAGGCTCCTGAAAGTAGCCGGCTTTGAGATGTGGTGGGGGTGAGCCTGAATTATCCAGGTGGGCTGAGAGCGTAATTGCCAGGTGGATGTGATGGGAGAGACCTCACCGCCCACCACTGCCTTTGAAGGTGGAGGAGGGGCCACGAGCCAAGAAAGGCAGGTGCCTTGAGATGCCAGAGAAGGCAAGAAACAGACTCCCCTGAGCCTCCAGCAGGAGCCAGCCCTGCCAGTGTCTTGCTTTAAGTTGAATGAGACACATTTCAGACTTGTGGCCTCCAGAACTGTGAGAGAAGACGTTTGTGTTGTTTTAAGCCACTAAGTCTGTGATTGGTACATCAGCCACAAGACACTAATACAACACCTAAACTCGGGGTTTGAAAAGGCCCCTAGGGCCCTAGAGCCCTCCCTGCCCCCGGTCCAGGCCTTCCTGCTTCTGTTGTGCAGACTCAGGCGCTGGCTCACTCAGAAGCCCCCTGCAGGCCCGGCCAATCCTGTGGCAGAGCCTCGACGTCCCACGGCGGCCTCTGAGCCGCCAGGCCCTACAGCGTGTGGTGAGGGGCGCAAGAGGTGTGAGTGCCTGGACCTTGCTCTGCCCCATGTCTGAGGACCTTGCCCTGCCCCGTGTCTGAGGACCTTGCCCCATCCTCGGCACCCAGAGCTGTGCAGTCCATAGGACCAGGCTGGTGCCCAGCCCCAGGTTGGTGCCTCAGCTGCCTCCTCAGCCTGCAGTCTCCACTGTTTGACTGACCATGTGCAGGGCCAGCTGTGAAGGACAGCACAGCTCCTCCCTCCCTGCCAAGTGTCAGGGGCACTAAAAACACTGCCATCAATGTTCTGATGTTTAAATCATGTTTTGATGCAATGTTTAAACAAATCAAAATGGGTCGGGCGCAGTGGCTCACGCCTGTAATCCCATCACTCTGGGAGGCCGAAGCGAGTGGATCACCAGAGATCAGGAGTTCGAGACCAGCCTGGCCAACACGGCGAAACCTCATCTCTACTAAAAATATAAAAATTAGCTGGGTGTAGTGGTGTGTGCCTGTAATCTCAGCTACTTGGGAGGCTGAGGCAGGAGAATCGTTTGAACCCGGGAGGCAGAAGTTGCAGTGAGCTGAGATTGTGCCACTGCACTCCAGCCTGGGCGACAGAGCGAGACTCCATCTCAAAAATAAATAAATAAAATAAATAAGTAAATCAAAATGAATGCAAAAAATTTGTGGTGGACAAACTGTCAACATTTTACATAAAGCCAGGATGAGGACGACGGCCTTCTCCTTTTGCTTCAAGCTCCAGCATGGCTCTGCCCAGCACTGACCGTGCTCCTGGCCTGGCTCGACCCTCCCCAGGGCCAAGCTCCATGCTGGTTTCCATCCCAAAGGACTCTTCTTCCCCCTCCCTGTGCCCCGGGAATAGGCAGCCAGCACAGTGGGGCCGCCCGCTGCCTCACCCAGACCCTGCCACTGCTTGGATGTTGACCCCCAGACTGGAAAGGTGGCTTTAAACCCCCTTCCCTTCTTCCAAGCCAAGTGACCTGGGTGTGCGGCTTAACCTTCTAAGCTCCCATTTCCTGGTCTATGAAGCGGGAATGATGCTGGGACCTGCTTCACAGGGTGGCTCTGAGGACCCACAGGCAGAGAGGTCTGGTGTAGGCTTTCGGGGGAAGCACCCATCACTCTCCCAGCGTTTCCTATCTGCACCTTAATTTGGCACCCCAGGGAATCGCTCCTCTGGAATTGTAACCTTGCAGGGCAAAAGCTATCATTTCAAGATTTTTTGGGATCCTGTGTCCCCGGACAGTGCTGTAAATGTAGGAGGAAGGGTGCTGCTCATGGGTGCTGCTCATGATGGAGGTGCCCCGTGGAGCACGCCTCGGAGCCCCCCCTTTCATCCCTGATCCCATCTGGGATGTGTCAGGTCTGATCCGCATACACTGGGGCATCTGACATTTCATGGCCTTCTGAGCCCATGGGCTGGAGATGAATTTGCAAAGCCCGGGAGTGTCCTGGGTGTGTGTTCACTCCACACGCACGAATCTGTTAGAGGCTGAGTAGGAACTAGGAGGCCAAAGAGAACCAGGCAACTTCCCACAGCCTGGACCGTACACTAGAAAAGCTAGCCTGGGAGAGGGGGCATGGCCTCTTCCCAGGCTGGCAGGGGGGATGTGGGGGAGGACCATGCTCCCCAGGGCCAGTTTACCAAAATATCAAAATACCAAAATATCAAAAGACTTAAAACTAGGAGTGAGCCAGGTGCAGTGGCTCACGCCTGTAATCCTACACTTTGAGAGGCCAAGGCAGGTGGGTCACCTGAGGTCAAGAGTTTGAGACCAGCCTGGCCAACACGGTGAAACCCTGTCTCTACTAAAAATACAAAAATAATAATAATAATAATAATAATAATAATTAGCCAGGTGTGGTGGCAGGCACCTGCAGTCTCAGCTACTCAGGAGGCTGAGGTGGGAGAATTGTTTGAACCTGGGAGGCAGAGGTTGCAGTGAGCTGAGATCGCGCCACTATATGATCTGGGCGCCACTCTGGGTGACACAGCAAGACTCCATCTCAAAAACAAACAAACAAAACCGGGAGTGCCTGGACACTTAGTGAGAACTGGACAGGGGCCATGGGTCGAGGAGCAAAATAATCACCAGGACTTGTGGATAACAGGATCATGTGGGTGGTGGGTCCGCATGGGTGACAGGGACGTGGGGACATGTCGCCACCCTGACAGGAGCAGCCCAACTCAACAGCCACGGCAGGTCATGCCACGGAGGCTCGAGGCGTTACGTGGGGATGTTACATCAAGGCATTACATCATTACGAGATGTAACGCTCGAGGCGTTACATCGAGGGGATGATGGCCATGGGGCTGGGCGTCCAGGGTGGGCCGCAGAGGGAAGCTCACCACGTGGTGCTCTCATCTGCCCACAGCCCAGCCCGTCTTCCTGTTGGAGGCATGTGACCCCTGGAGGACAAGCATGAAACGCCATAGGGCTCCCCCAGGTGCTGGAATTATGGCACCTTGCAGCTTCTTCTCCACGAGTTTTAACAAGCATGCGTACTTTTGTAAGTGGTGAGTGTAACGGAGGTTCACAGATGCACTCCGCTTTGGAAACCAGTGCACTCTTGCCCAGGCCCGGTGAGACTCTGACGACGATGTGTCTAACCTCTGTGTCTAACGGGGGTGTGGGCTCTCCCTCCTCTGGCGACCATGAGGACCACCCCGGCAGGACAAGGTGTGCAGAGAACTAGCATGGTCCCTGGCACGTAGCCCCTGCCCAGTGACTGGCAGATGAGAAGCTCCATTGTCGCCCCAGGCGAGTATGGGGCACAGGCGCCTCCTTGGGTTGTCTGCCCTCCCGGGAGCCCCAGGGTGCCCAGGCGGGCCTCAGCTGAGTCCAGGCCTCGGGGACAGTCCGTGCAGCCCCTCCTGGGGCTGGGGGCGGGCACTTGTCCCAGCCACGTTTCTGCTGACTGAGCAGCCTTCTTCATGAGCTCACGCCTTTCCAGAGAAATCCCTTAATGCCTCCATTCTGCTGGTGGCATATATAGGGAGGGCTCGGCCTTGGCTCCACACTGCGCTGCCCAGAGGCCCCGCTGACTCCTGCCAGCCTCCAGGTCCCCGTGGTACCAAAGCTGAACATGGATGTGACCATCCAGCACCCCTGGTTCAAGCGCACCCTGGGGCCCTTCTACCCCAGCCGGCTGTTCGACCAGTTTTTCGGCGAGGGCCTTTTTGAGTATGACCTGCTGCCCTTCCTGTCGTCCACCATCAGCCCCTACTACCGCCAGTCCCTCTTCCGCACCGTGCTGGACTCCGGCATCTCTGAGGTAAGACGTGGCCCGTGGTGCTGGCCTCTCCTCGCTGCTCAGAGGGTGGTGGCCTCGGTGGGTGGAGAGCGATGGACTCTGGTCTTGCTCCGTCAGGCAGGTGGCCTCGTCCCACTTCATCCCCTTGCAGAGGCTGGGCGAGAGCCTGTGTCCCCACTGCAGCCACGTGGTAGAGCTTCCCCTGGCACTGGGGAGAGGGTGGACAAGGGAGCAGCCTGAATCCACCTTTGCTTTCCTCCATCAGCTCATGACCCATGTGTGCTTTGTAAGGCACCAGCCACATACTGGAAACCCCAAGAGCAGCCCATCCAGGCATGCGTGGTGGCGAATGCCAGCTCCCGGGTTCCTCTGGTCTCCTGAGTCCCGGAGACCTGGGAGCAGGTGGGGGTCATAGTCCTGAAAGCCAGAGAGCAGGGCGTTCCTAGCACCTCCTCCAATGAGCTCGGCCTGCCCACGGCTAGCAAAGCTCTTGGCAAGTTTACTTAGGTGCCCTGCCAAGGCTAAAAGGACAGGCAATGGACGCCCCCCCCCCCCACCCAACCACAGGCCTCCTCTCTGAGCCACGGGTGAGCGGTGCAGGTTCTGCTGTTCTGGAGGGCCTGAGTCCCACCCAGCACCTCATAAACAGGGTCCTCCCCAGGGCTGCTGCAGTAGGCATCAATGCCAGGGTGCAAAATGCCTCAGGGAGCCAAGGCTGAGCCAGGGGAGTGAGAAGGAGCATGTGGAAGTGCGTTTTGGAGAGGCAGCTGCGCAGGCTGTCAGCAGGCTCCGGCCGCTTCTATAGACAGCATGACACCAAGGGCAGTGACCTCATTCCACAGGCTGAGTCCAGCCAGCCAGCCAAGCATCACCAGCCAGACGATTGACCCTAACGGACCAACCAACCCGTAACGACCCCTCCTACCATAACCAGTAGCCAGCCAGCCCATAACCAGCCAACTTATCTATAACCAGCCACCTGACCATAGCCAAACAACCAGCCGGCCCACCAGTAGCATTCAGCCCCTCAGCTGGCCCTGAGGGTTTGGAGACAGGTCGAGGGTCATGCCTGTCTGTCCAGGAGACAGTCACAGGCCCCCGAAAGCTCTGCCCCACTTGGTGTGTGGGAGAAGAGGCCGGCAGGTGACCGAAGCATCTCTGTTCTGATAACCGGGACCCGCCCTGTCTCTGCCAACCCCAGCAGGGACGGCACCCTCTGGGCAGCTCCACATGGCACGTTTGGATTTCAGGTTCGATCCGACCGGGACAAGTTCGTCATCTTCCTCGATGTGAAGCACTTCTCCCCGGAGGACCTCACCGTGAAGGTGCAGGACGACTTTGTGGAGATCCACGGAAAGCACAACGAGCGCCAGGTGAGCCCAGGCACTGAGAGGTGGGAGAGGGGGGCGAGTTGGGCGCGAGGACAAGGGGGTCACGGCGGGCACGACCGGGCCTGCACACCTGCACCATGCCTTCAACCCTGGGAGAGGGACGCTCTCCAGGGGACCCCGAATCAGGCCTGGCTTTTCCCCAAGGGAGGGGCCGTGCCCACCTGAGCACAGCCAGCCCCTCCCGGTGACAGAGGTCACCATTCCCGAGCTAATGTGGCTCAGGGATCCAGGTTAGGGTCCCTTCCCGGGCTGCACCCAGCCGTCGCCAGCTCCATCCCTGTCACCTGGATGCCAGGGTGGTCTTAGAAAGAACCCCAGGAAGTGGGAGTGCCCCGGGTGGCCGCCTCCTAGCCAGTGTACATCTTCACATGAACCCTACCTGAGGAAGCCAGTCCCCGACGGCATAGCTGCATCCGCTTGGAATGCTTTACAGGCATTGACACCTTCGCCTCACAGCAGCACTTTGGAACCAGTGTCCTCATTATTCCAGGGCACGGCTGGGGAACAAGGGGGTCCTCAGCCTGCTGGGTCCCACAGCTAGTACCGGGCAGGTGGACGGGAGCTTCTCCCCACAGTCACCCTGATGCCCCGCTCTTGCTCGGCTGGAGGCCTCGGATCTCCGTGGTGTTGAGGGAGCCGGGGCACTGGAGCCCTGGTGACCTGCATCTCCTGGCGGAGCCGGGAAGAGCTCATGGACTGTCACAGATGGACAGTGCCCCGCGGGGGCTGGAGAGCAGAGTGGGGCTGGAAGGTGGAACTCTTAGCCAAAGTCTTGGTTTCTTTTGGCCAGGGTCCTCTTTCAATGGCTGGAGAAGGTGGTGCTGGGGGGTGAACGCTGACCTCCTCATGTGCTGCCCCTCCCTCGCCTGGGCCCGGTAAAGCCCCCACGTAGCCCCAGCCAGCCTGGAACATGCTTCCTGAGCTCCCAGCTCTTGGTCTTTGCACCCAGTGGAGGAGGAGGTCAGCCCAGGGAGCTGAGTCTGCGGTTTAGGGCGTCCAGGGGACGTGGAAGCATGTGGGTCGTCTGGCCACATTAGGTAGGGCTGCAGAGACCTGGGCTAGAGCAGTCCTGCGGGGTCTGGAAGGGGAAGACTGGCTGAGGTGCGGGGCCTGGTCTGGAATGATCCTGCGATTTTGGAGTGAAGCCATGGAGCGGGAAGAGACAACCCCCCGCGGGGAATAGCCCGGCAAGTGGCCACGAGGCCAGGCTGAGGTCCAGAGAAGCAGGGGCATGAATCCATAAATCCCAGGGGGCCTGGCCATGGGATGTGCTGGCTGCACCCGGCCCCTGTGAGAGCCCCCGCAGGCTGGCCCCCTTCTGCAGTCAGTGGGGCTGGGGCAGCTTCTCTGGCATGGGGCGAGGCAGCCGCCTGCACAGTGGCCCCCCTGACTGTGCGCCCCCACCCTCTCCAGGACGACCACGGCTACATTTCCCGTGAGTTCCACCGCCGCTACCGCCTGCCGTCCAACGTGGACCAGTCGGCCCTCTCTTGCTCCCTGTCTGCCGATGGCATGCTGACCTTCTGTGGCCCCAAGATCCAGACTGGCCTGGATGCCACCCACGCCGAGCGAGCCATCCCCGTGTCGCGGGAGGAGAAGCCCACCTCGGCTCCCTCGTCCTAAGCAGGCATTGCCTCGGCTGGCTCCCCTGCAGCCCTGGCCCATCATGGGGGGAGCACCCTGAGGGCGGGGTGTCTGTCTTCCTTTGCTTCCCTTTTTTCCTTTCCACCTTCTCACATGGAATGAGGGTTTGAGAGAGCAGCCAGGAGAGCTTAGGGTCTCAGGGTGTCCCAGACCCCGACACCGGCCAGTGGCGGAAGTGACCGCACCTCACACTCCTTTAGATAGCAGCCTGGCTCCCCTGGGGTGCAGGCGCCTCAACTCTGCTGAGGGTCCAGAAGGAGGGGGTGACCTCCGGCCAGGTGCCTCCTGACACACCTGCAGCCTCCCTCCGCGGCGGGCCCTGCCCACACCTCCTGGGGCGCGTGAGGCCCGTGGGGCCGGGGCTTCTGTGCACCTGGGCTCTCGCGGCCTCTTCTCTCAGACCGTCTTCCTCCAACCCCTCTATGTAGTGCCGCTCTTGGGGACATGGGTCGCCCATGAGAGCGCAGCCCGCGGCAATCAATAAACAGCAGGTGATACAAGCAACCCGCCGTCTGCTGGTGCTGTCTCCATCAGGGGCGCGAGGGGCAGGAGGGCGGCGCCGGGAGGGAGGACAGCGGGGTCTCCTGCTCGCGTTGGACCCGGTGGCCTCGGAACGATGGGGTCGCCTGCGTCCCTTCCTTCTCCTGAGCTCAAGCGCCTCCCTCCACACTGGGCTGGAAGGAGAGGTTTTGGGGGCAGAGCCTCTGATGGGAAAGGGACTGGGGAGCGGTTCCGAGAGCTGGGGGCGGGGAGGGACCTGGAAGGGGCTGCAGGGAATGGAGGGAGGCCGGGCTCCTTTCTCTGTCCGCGCCGGCACCGGGGCGGGACGCCAGCCCTGGCCTCCTTCTGCGGGGCCGTCCGGTTCTCTCGGGGTCTGCTGGGTCGTCCTGTTCTCTCGGGGGTCCTGCTGCCTTCGGGGCTGGGCTTTAAGGGCACTCGTGCTTTTGAGGAGCTGGAACTCGGCAGCTTCCCCTGGGCAACCCATCATGGCCCCGAGCTGGAGGCGGAAGCTCGCTCTGTCCCCTCCCGGGACCAGACACTGGGCGGCCATGCCAGACCCCGCCACGGGGAGGGAGACTCGGCCTGGGGGGCCCTGGCTGCCTGCTGCGCTCACCGAGGGGCATCCGGGGGGCCAGAGGGCACCCAAGGGGAAGCAGACGCCACGGCGGGTGGGCCCTGCCAGCGCCCTCAGCCAAGTAAAGCGCCCTCGACCCCGGAGGCCGAAGGCACCGGGACCCTGAGGCACTGGGACCCCCATGGCACCAGCAGGACGACCACAGGGGCGCAGCCTCCACCCGGGAGAACACAGACACTGACACCACCGGGTTTTCAAAAAGTCAGCAACAGGCATTAGCGTGGGCGGCCATAGTGACGCCCAGTGACATCACGTGCCACGGACACTGAACAGCACACACACCACACACACCACACACTCCACACACACCGCACACTCCACACACTCCACACACACCACACACACCACACACTCCACACACTCCACACACTCCACACTCCACACACTCCACACACACCACACACTCCACACACTCCACACACACCACACACTCCACACTCCACACACTCCACACACACCACACACTCCACACACACCACACACTCCACACCCACCACACACTCCACACACTCCACACACACCACACACTCCACACACTCCACACACACCACACACACCACACACTCCACACACTCCACACACTCCACACACACCACACACTCCACACTCCACACACTCCACACACAACACACACTCCACACACACCACACACTCCACACCCACCACACACACCACACACTCCACACACTCCACACACTCCACACACACCACACACTCCACACACAACGCACACTCCACACACTCCACACACACCACACACACCACACACTCCACACACACCGCACACTCCACACACTCCACACACACCGCACACTCCACACACACCACACACACCACACACACCACACACTCCACACTCCACACACACCACACACTCCACACACACACCACACACCACACACTCCATACACACCACACACTCCACACACTCCACACACTCCACACACACCACACACTCCACACACACCACACACTCCACACTCCACACACCACACACTCCACACACACACCACACACTCCACACACACACCACACGCAGCACAGACACCACACACTCCACACACACCACACACTCCACACACTCCACACACACCGCACACTCCACACACTCCACACACACCGCACACTCCACACACCACACACTCCACACACACACACCACACACTCCACACACAACACACTCCACACACACCACAGACACACACACACCCCTCAACACACCATGCCCTTTGTCTCTCTTTGTATTCCTCTGGCCAGGCCGTGGTGTGACGGGTTCTGAGTCCTGGGAGTGGCTCCCCTAGACTCCCCCCCTCCTCCTCCCTCCAGCAGGACCTGCCCGGCTGTTGTGCCATCGAGTCCCCATTTGTACAGAAGGGGGTGCCCTGTGGTTGGCAACAACATGACCCACTGTGCTTTGGGGCTGCGGCTGGATGTTTTTGAAAATCGGGGTGTCTGGGGCTCCCTGCTCCTCCTGGGTCTGTCCCGGACCAGCTGAGCGGACACCTTTGCTCTGCACAGCCTGGCAGCCATTGCAGGGAGGCGGGCCCACCGCAACATCTGGTAGCTCCGGGTCCCGTCCCACCGGCTGCACAGTGAATGGAGCTGTCACTCACGCCTGCAGCCTTGCTTGACTGCGGGTCCTGCCTGGACCTTGTTAGGGGCTGGAAGGTGACTCCCTGAAAATTATATGGGGTCCTACCCCCAAAGGCTCAGAATGGGACTGTGTTTGGCGGTGGGGGCTTTGATTAAATTGAAGTGATGTCACTGGGGTGGGCCCTGGCCCAGTCTGGCCGGTGTCCTTGTAAGAAGAGGAGATGAGGACACAGACCTACAGAGGGACAACCCCGTGAGGGCACAGGGAGGAGACACTGTCTGCAAGCCAAGGAGAGACGCCCCAGAGGAACCGGCCCTGCTGCCCCTTGACCTTGGACTCCCGGCCTCCAGGACCCGGCAGAAACGATGTCTGCCATTGGAGCCGCAGCTGTGGCGTTGCAGCTGCGGGAACCGACGCATTCAGGCCCAAAGACATAGCCTTTGGCTAGGCCTTGGCAGGGTCTGCAAGGCCCGTGGGTGGTTCACCAGATCCTCGATCAGGCTCCTTGGAGAGTCGCACGGAGCACCAGGGCCAGCCCAGGCAGAACTTCCCCTGGCTGGTGGGCTGTCTGATCTCCTCTGCTCCCCCAGTTGGGTCTTCCAGCAGCACAGGCTCAGCAAGGACTTGGAGGGGGTGGGGGGAGGGGCTCTCATCTCATCTGGCCTCCAAGACATGCAGCGTGACACCTCCCATCTCCCCTCCTGGGGCCTCCTGATGCCATCCTTCCTCGGCTCTCCAATCACACCCCACCCGGGCGGTTCTTAAACTCAGGGGCCTGGGGCTGCTTCACCTCTGGCCTGGGGTAGGCTAGATACGCCTGAGAGATTGTCCATACAGGGCTCAGAGCCTGGCTCCATCCCAGGCTGGCCACAGCCCCTATCTCCTCTCCTCCCACCTTGGGGCCTATTCTGGAACAGCCTGCCTTGCAAGGGCCGCCCAGGTGATTTCAGTGATTTCACTGTCACCATGGCTACTGTGAGGCCAAGGTCACACGGACTCCCCGCAGGCACCAAGCTGACGGTCATCTGACAGCAGCCTCATCACCACCTTGTCCAGATGAGACAGAGGCTCAGCAGGGACTTGTGCAAGGCCCCAGCCAGCCAATGGCAAGGCCTGGAGACCTAGGCTCCCACCCTGAAGTCATCTCAACGGGCCCAGCCTCAGGAGCTGCCTGTGCTGGGGCCTGGGGCTGCTTTGCACCCAAGACCCCTTCAGAGTCACAGGTGAGTGGCCAGATTCCACCCCCACCATGCCCGCCCCGCCAGGGCAGGAGGCCACGTGGATGTGAGCTTTAATGCAGGGCGCAGCTCTGGCCATGGTGCCCAGCCACTTTCCTGGAGTCTGAGCAGCTGCCAAGGCTCTCTGGTGGCTGCTCCTACCCACATGGCTCCCATGGGCTGCTGTTGGAGAGCTTCTGAAGCCGGGAGGATGCCTGCTCCCCTTGCCTCCTTTCCAAGCTCGCCTCTGCCCACCCACTGCTAGGCCTGGGACTCACACCAGCCTTCTCCGTGGGTGCTGCTGCCAGCTTTCTGCCCTCTGGGCCTCCCTCTCCCTCGCCTGGCCTTCAGAGGGCCGAGGCTCTGATCACCTCTCCCCCGCTTCCCATTGTGTGGCCTGGCGTCTGAGGCCCCTGTGGTCTGACTGCCCCACTGCTCCCTGGTATGCATTCAGGTTGAATTCAGAGAGCTCTGCGTGCCAGTGTCCAGCCCCATTCACCAGGGCACACGGCCATCGTGGAAAGATGGGATTGGCCAGTACTTCCCAAGCCTGCCAGGCCGGGAGAACCACCTGCAGTGCATTGCAAATACAGACTCCTGGGCCCCGCTCACACCCACTTAGAGTCTGGAGGGGCAGAGTCCAGGGAGCTGGGCTTTTGGTGCCTCCAGGTGAGCCCTATGATCAGGTGCAAGTGGGAGATGCTGCGGGACAGCGGCGCCTCCTCAGGTTGGGGCAGCGGGGGAGAGAAGTCTCACTGGAAGCTGCCTCTCCAGTCTTGGGGCTCAGCTTCTCGATCTCCAGGGAGGCTCTCCCTCATCCCACTGCTGGGGACGCTGGACTCTGGAGTGAAAATGACCCACGCTCTCCTCTGCTCCCGTTTTCACCTTGGGCATCATTGTCATCATCATTATGAGCAGCAGCCGGAAAAGCATTAATGGAGCACCTGCTGTATGCCAGGCCTTGCGCCTGCTGCGCTTGTAACGGCAATTCTCATGCAGCCTGCACAGCAGCCTGTAGCCTGTTTCTATTGTTAGCTGAGGACACCCAGGCTTAGAAATGGAGTCACCTGCCTGGTGTCCCCAGCTGGTGAGGGCTTGGGCCAGGTGCACCCTGTCTGTTTGACCCCAAAGCCAGGGCTCAGCACCGCTGGGCAGATGATTACTGCAATGTCACACATAATGTGAAAATTGGGAGGCGCTGAGGAAGCCTGAGGCACTGGTCCCTTTCTTCTGGTGACATGCTGGGTGACTTTGGACAGATCTATCAACCCCTCTGAGTATTCGATGTCCGTCTTTGCCAGTCGGCTGAAGCTGGGAGACCGAGTGCCTGCGGGGAGCCTCCAGCCCCCAGTTCCTTTCAATCATCACCAGCGTGCCTCACACTTACCACCAGGTGGCAGCAGAGGACTTGCCTGGCCGCCGAGACCTTGGCCGCAGGAGACTTGCCGAACCTCAGCCTTAAAGGTCACCTTCACTCTTCAAGACAGTGGGAAGCGGCCGCAGCAAACATCCGCAGAGGGCCTGGCTCCGGGAGCCTCTGGACTGCGTGCTGCCAAGCTGTGGGAGACCCACCCTGACCCCCGGGGAGCTAGTGTCCAGCAGGGGAGACTGAGATGGGAAGACACAAAAGCCGTGCTGGAAGCCAGCGGTGTTTCTTTACCATGAGCAGTTTTGGGGTTTCATTTGCTTGTGTGTAAAATCACTTGAAAAAGGAGGCGTCACTGTCTGGAAGGCCAGGGCTGTGCTGGGGTCCCTGGGGGCTCTGGCGGGGTTTCCTCCGCGCAGAATGACGTCACTCCCCGGCTTCCGGCCCAGGTCAGCTCTTCCTAGGAAGCCTCTTGTGAAGAGCAGCCCCCGTCCCGCCCACATCCGCAGAGGCCTGTGAGTGGGGCAGGGCGGTAAGTGTCCCTGGCAGGCAGCCTCAGCTGACGCGGTGTTGGGGTCACAGGGTCAGAGGTCCTGCCAGCCAAGGCTGCATGTGGCTGTCTGAGAAGGGGCTGAGACAGAGATGCAGGCACAGGTGCCAGACAGTGCCAGCTTGGAAGGAGGAGGCATCAGGAGAGCCGAGGGGTTGAGGGACAAGGAGCTGCTTGCTGGGGGCAGGGCGGCCTTCTCTCTACAGGGCAGGCACCTGCCTCCCGCTCTGCCCTTGGCCTCCAGGATGGGAGCTGGGAAAGGAGTCTCCCTTCAGGGGAGGGACCCTTGGCAGGGGCTAGTGAAGGCTCCGTCAGCGTTAGCTCCCAGGCTGCTGGGGAGGCCAGAAGGCCCTGCTCTGTGGGATTTCCTCTGAGACCCTGGGCTAAGGACTGAGTTTGCAGGGGCAGGAAATGTGGGCGGGCTCCAAACCTGCTGTGCAGGCTGCTGCCATTAGAACAGAACAGAAGGAAAGATACACATGCATCCATGCACACACACACACAGTGTGCCCATATGCACAGAACACACATGCACATAGAAGCACAATGTTTGCACAGTGTGCACCCATGCACAACACACCATGCACACTCGTGCACAACACACAAAACACATGCTCACACACCTCACACATGTGCGCACAAATGCACAACACAAACACACATGCAACATACAAACACATGTACACACATCACACAATACATGTGGACACACACGGACACACAGAAGCACATAACACCTACGCGTGCACAAATGCCCACATGCACACCTACACAAACATACACTCACACAGCCCACAGGAAGACGCACACACCACTATCATGGCCATGGCCAAGCTCTGGGCTGTTACTTCATTGCGCGGCTGCCCTCTGTGTCTGATTTGTACTTGACCGTGAGAGACCCCTTTCCACCCTCCAGCTTAGGGGAGCCCCCTCCTGTGTGCTGCTCAGCAGCCTCTTTGACATCTAGCTGCCTGGGCCCTGGCATTCCTCGTGCCACCTGCAGAGACGTCAGAGACGGCACGAGGGAGGAGCGGGTATGAGGGAGGGGCCGTGTGGCAGCTCAAGGACGCCCCAGGGGCACCGGGAAGGAGGGGCAGTGAAGAGAGGGGGTGGCTCATTATTCTGCAGAGCTGTCTGCCCCGGGAGCCTGTGAGCGCTGTGCCTTTACCTTGGCCAGGAGTGAGAGAAATCAATTTCCAAAGCATCCTGGCTGGAAAATCTTGCTTTCCAGAGCAGTGTGGGTCTCCGAGCAGGGCTCCCGAAGGCCCTGACGCAGAATTGCAGATGGCTGGCTGTTGAGGGGACAGGGCGCCCCCTGGGGAAGACACGTCAGACCTAGAGGACTGGGGTGGGAAGGCAGGACACGCCAAATCCCATCTGCCGTTCGCAGGAACACTGAGACCCCACGATGACCCTGGCAGTGGCTCTCTGATGGTGATAAAAGGCAGCGGCTGCCCTTGGAGGAGCTGGTGGCTGACTTATTTCTGACAGCCGGTAATGGCCAAGTGCTGGGCCTTTGATTGTACGGGGCTGGGCTGCACTCCACACAGGAGCTGGCTCAGGGGTCCTGCTGGCAGCTGCAGTGCTCTTACCTGCTCGGTGATGAGAAACCCAATTAAGTAAGTGGCCTGCAGCCATGTGGCCTGTGCCAGGAGCCAAGCGGGGAGCCCCGGCTCTCCCCCTGAGCCCCCTTGCTCACTCTTCCTGCCTGCCCCTGCCTGTGGCTGTCGGAAAGGGTGTTTCTGCAATGAACCAGCTGGAATCCAGCAGTGCTGTGGGGAATTTCCCACGGCTGCTGTGACAAACGACCACAAGCTGGTTGGCTTAAAACAACAGAAATTCACTCTGAGGCACGAAGTCCGAAATCAAGGTATCTGCAGGGCCGTGTTCCCTCTGGAGGCTCTGGGGTGAATCTTCCTTACCTCCTCCAGCATTCCCGGTTGCTGGAAGCCTCTGAGCTCCAGTCTCTGCCTCCGCCTTCCCCTCCCGTCTGTGTCCTTTCCCCTTAAAGGACATCAGCCATTGGGTTTAGGGTCTGCTCTCATCCAGGACGATCTCACCTTGATGCTTCACTGAATTACATCTGCAAAGATTCTGTTTCCAAATAAGGTCACATGCCCAGGTTCTGGGGTTTGGAACTTAGACACATGTTTTGGGGGACACTGTTCCACCCATGACAAGTATGGATGACGTCCCTGAGATCCTGTGTCCTTGCATTTGGGGACGCTTCACATACGCCATTGTACACGTTCCTCTCAGGAACCTCTGAGGTTGGCGGGACTGTTTTTGATATTCATTGCGCATGTGTGTCCCCGTGGGTGTGTATGTGTGAGAATGTGTGAGTGTGGGTGTCCCTGTGAGTGGGGGTGAGTGTGAGTGTGTGCGTATGAGGTTCCACATACATATGTGAGTGTGTCCCTGTGAGTGAGTCCCCTGTGAATGGGTGTAAGTGAGCATGTGTGTGTGAGTCCCTGTGCATGGGTATGAGCATGTGTGTGTCCCTGTGTGAATGAATGTGTGTGAGTCCCTGTGTGTAACAGCATGTGTGTGTGTGTCCCTGTGTGTGAGTGAATGTGTATGTGTGCATGTGTGAGTGTGTTACGAGTATGGGTGTCCCTGTGAACGTGTGTGAGTGGGTATGAGTGTGAATGTCCCTGAGTGGTTGTGTGTGTGTGTGTCTGTCCCTGTGTATGTGTGTAAGTGTGTCTGTCCCTGTATGTGAGTGTGGGTATCCTTGTGAGAGTGTGTGATTGGTGTGAGTGTGGGTGTCCTCATTAGTGGTTTGTGTGTGTGTCCATCCCTGTGTATGTGTGTGTAAGTGCGGCTGTCCCTGTGTGTGTGTGTGTGGGTGTCCTCATGAGTGGTTGTGTGTGTGTGTGTGGGGGGGGTCTCTGGGTTTGTGTATGGGTGTGTGTGAGTGGGTGTGTGTGTGTCCTTGTGAGTGGTTGTGAGTGCGGGTGTCCCTGTGAGTGGTTTTGTGTGTGGGTGTGTGTATGACTCTGTGAGGGGGTTATGTGTGTGTGTGGGAGTGTGGCTGTCCCTGTGAGTGTGTGAGTGTGGGTGTCCCTGTGAGTGATTGTGTGTAGATGTGTGTGTATGAGTGTGGTGTCCCTGTGAGTGATTGTGTGTAGGTGTGTGTGTGAGTGTGGGTGTCCCTGTGAGTGATTATGTGTAGGTGTGTGTGTGTATGAGTGTGGGTGTCCCTGTGTGTGTAGGTGTATGTGTGTATGAGTGTGGTGTCCCTGTGAGTGGCTGTGTGTGTGAGTGTGTTTGTATGAGTGTGGGTGTCCCTGTGAGTGGCTGTGTGTGTGAGTGTGTGTGTATGAGTGTGGGTGTCCCTGTGAGTGATTGTGTGTAGGTGTGTGTGTGTATGAGTGTGGTGTCCCTGTGAGTGGCTGTGTGTAGATGTGTGTGTGTGTGTCCCTGTGAGTGGGCTGAGCCCAGGTACTTGGTTTCTGCAGGGAACTTACCCACGTTTGTGGGCCCCTGGTGGCAAATGTCCAGTGTCAGCCAGGGCAGGCCGTGGTTGGAACTGGATAGGAGACTTTGTATTTTGGGGCTGCCCATGGCGGGTCCCCGTCCTCATCAGAGGCATCCCAGGGGTGACCTTTCATCTGCTGGAGCTGCTGCCACTCCATGCTGTGACTCCTGATATGCATCCACTCCCGTGTTAGCCCAGGTCTGGACGTGCACAGTGGCCAGGGTGAGGGGTTCTGTCCAGAATACCCTCGGGGAAGGGGGTCTCAGGGACCATCTTCTTTGGCAGGTGGGCAGAGCAGTGGGAAGCCTGGGTTCTGGGTGGGGGCACGGCAGGCAGGCTCTTCTGGCAGCTGGGTGATGCCCGTGAGCGCTAAATGCAAGACGTGTGAACACAGGCGGCTCACAGATGCCAGTGCTGAGTGCGACTGTGCCTCCGCCTGGCCTCGAGGCATTTGCTGAACTTCCAGCTTACCCGGTTCTCCTCCTGTGCTGACTCCAGGGCCTCCTTGGGCCCTGCTAGGCGCGGGCTGCCGCCGAGGGGATGTGGGTGGGCTGGCAGCTGCTATCAAGGCTCTGCTGCTGGTCACAGCTGGGCAGTGGCCCCAGGGCCCCCAGACGGCTCAGCACATGTGTACCCTGGCCTTGTGGCCACTCAGGTGTCCCAGGCCTGAGCTCATGAAGGGCAGAGGGCATTCCCTGGCACCCTTGCAGTTCTTCAGGGGTCCTGAGTGCGTAGTGCCCATTAAGTGGCAATGTTGATGGGGACAACCAACACAGTCCACGAGCTTGCCCCTCTGTGTGTGGAATGGGCTTGCAGCATGGTTTGTGCCAGCCCCGACAGGCAGGGGCCCTTTAAATGAGTTCCCGCGCAGCCCACCGGGGCCTGGCTGATTGCTCAAGCTGCCTGCTGGAGCTGCACCTGCTCTAAATTGTGATCAGGCTAAATTAGATGGAAAAATATGCAAATGTAGTTGGAGCTTTTTGGCAAATTAGCACGCAAGCGGGTGGAGATGAGGCTCGCCGGCGAGGGGGAGCACCCATATCGTTTGACTAATTATTGAGGCAGTCAAATTAAGACAGTGGGCTCGCCACCAGGGTGGGTTTTAAAGGGGGAATTATTTCAGCTACGTTTTCTAGTTTTCTGAGGCTGCCTGAAAAAGAGAAGAAAAGATACTTCCCTGCCAGTTTCTCTGCTGAATAGGTGAAAGTCAGACAGCTTTTTCGTGCTGAGTCCACAGACGCTCCTCGGTCATCTTTGATGAACATAGACTGGAATATAGAAACCAAAAATATTTTGAGCTGGGAGGGAGGGTTGATTTGTCTAAACCTGCTGGAGGTGAGTGGTCAGGCCCTGAACCGGGTCATGCATGCTGAAGAAGCAATCGTTGGCCTCCATTTGTGTATGGCGCGTGCGTGGTGATGTCTTAACCACACCAATTCCACCTGGACGGGCTGCAGTTGTTACCAATTGTGAGTGACCATACCATAGGGATGAACCAGCAGAGAAGACCCAGTGGTCACATGAGGCCAGGCTGAGTGCAATGACCAAGACAAAGGCATGTCTAGGTTACCCAGTGGGAGCAGTGGAAGCGGCGCTTGTCATTTGGAGCGGGTCAGGAGCCATCCCATGCCACCGCGGCCTCTGTAGTCTCACGACTTCCTCTGCACGCCCGGGGCACTTCATTCACGGCATGGATGTGGCCCTCGTGTTGCTGATTCTCATAGTTTTTGGTGCATCCTTCTTCACTCCATCAGCCGCGAGGATTTTGTCTTCTGCCGTCTTGTGTTTTGACTTCCCCTTCTGCCCTTTCTCTCAAGGTCGCCGTTTGCACACAGCAGCATCTGGAGGGATGAGCTCGCCTGATTCCATGCAGGTGGGTTCCTGGGTGGGGCATTGGAGGCTATCTCTGAACGACTGGGTGGCAGGAAGGTACCCCTGGTGCATGGAGGCCTGGCTGAAGCATGGCCGGTCTCCCTGGGACAACGTCATTATCTGTTTGCCCTTTGATTTCAGAATCGAACTCAGCTCCGTGGTTCACACTTGTTTCCAGAGATGCCAACAAGCTGCTCTTCCCCGAGTCCCCGCAGGTGTGCACCTTTGGGAAGGTATCAGATAGTGACCTCCTGGGCTGGGCTGTGCCTGTGTGCACCTGTCACGAGCAGGGCTGTGGGGGTGGAGATGTTAACCATCTCACCAGAGGAGGGCTGGACTGGATCCAAGAAACTTTTTTCCCCCTGGGATGGAATTTGAAAGTGGAAAAAAAGTCACATAAAAATCAGTGTAGCTAATTAACAAGAATACATGGAACAGTCTCCGTCGTTTTCCAAGTCTGCTATGCTGCGGCACATAAGTAGAGGTTGAAACAACAATGGCAACAGCGGTGAGAAAGGATACGGGGCCTGCTGAGATCTGCATCCTGTCCTTAAGGGCCTGATGGTTTTGAATTGTCCTCCAAGGCCACTGCCGTGGTTGGAGAGGCCGACGTGTCATCAGCACAGCTAAAACAGACAACTCGGGAAATATGGGAACCTGGGGGAGACTGGAGCCCAAGTCGCTGCAAATCCTTGATGAGGAGACACAAGAAACCACTACTTCAAAGCTGGAGGCAGCTTCTGCACAGAACAGATTCATGTTTGCATTTGGGGATGACTGTCTGCTCACTCTGGGACGTCCATGGTTCTGCACATGTGTAGCCGGGGGACATGTTTCTGTTCTTGGAAGACCTGGAAGATTTATATTGTTTTATTTTTTTTTAATTCTTTTTGAGGCAGAGTCTCACTCTGTCGCCCAGGCTGGAGTACAGTGGTGCAATCTCAGCTCACTGCAACCTTCACCTCCCAGGTTCAAGCGATTCTCTTGTCTCAGACTCTTGAGTAGCTGGGACTACAGGTGCACGCCACCATGCCTGGCTGATGTTTTGTGTTTTTATTAGAGACAGGGATTCACCATATTGGTCAGGCCGGTTTCGAACTCTTGACCTCAGGTGATCCACCTGCCTCGGCCTCCCAAATTGCTGGGATTACAGGTGTGAGCCACTGCCCCTGGCTGGAAGCCTTTAGTGGTGTAAACTGTGGGTGGGTTTTAGCAGATCCGTGTCTCCGTGGGTTATGTTTTCTCCGTGTCTCCGTGGGTTATGTTTTCTTTACATCAGATATTTCTTTCCTCACTACCTGGAAGAGGTACCCGTTCTTTCCAAGCATGGGTTAATGAGAAGGAAGCAACAAAAGGCTGGGAGAGAACACATGGAGGGAAGCTGCCGTTGGTCTCGAAGCTGTGCCATGGCGGGTACCGTCTCCCCTCTGATGAATTTATAACCCCCTATGTGCTACCATTTCAGGTTAAACCAACTTGACCAAGGACTTCCAGTTTCTTGGAAAATGATAGTTTTGCTAACCTTCCTGCTGATTATAAACTCTGGACAAAATAGAAACAACCATTATTTGAAGGCATTGGAAAGTGACATAAAGCATGAAAAAAAAAAAAAACTCAAGCTAAAGAGGTATGACCCTTGCAAAAAAGGGAGCCATGCTTATCTGGGTTTTGTTCTCAGATCCTTCTTCAGACCGCCCCATATGGAATGGAGCTGAAGTGGAACAGTAGTTTTGTTGGGCTGAGAGGTCAGAGGCCAGAGTTCAAGGCTGCCAAAAAACAACAACAAAAAAAGGGAGCCACAGAGAGGGGAGCTCCTAAATCTAGCACAAATTTCCCTGAAACCCTTGGCTGATAACTAAAGTTTGCATGTGCAAGCCAAGACTCCAGAAAGCCCAGAAAGCAGGAACAGCTGGAGGCTGAGAGCTGGGCAGACATTTCAGCATCTGGCTAGTCCCGGAAAGACCAAGTTTGGAGTTCATGTGATAAGCACCTTGAGCTTTTCATCAGAAACCCTGGGATAGAGTAAGTTTTTCTATGTGCTGAAGTAAAGTCATTGTTAATTATATAGTCAGAAGACAGAAGGATACTATATTCAAACTGCTGAGAGAACAATCAGTCCCCTACATACCCAGCTAAACTATCACTCGAGAATGATAGCAAAATAAAGATGTTTCAGATACACAAAAACCAGAAGTTCACCAACAGCATACAAAAGATACATACCAAAGGACTTCTATTTGATGGCTTTTAAAGTGATCTAAAACATTGGTCAGGTGGGATTTAAAGATGACCAGGATTTTGTGCTATTCTGTAGAGATATTTAGACTTTAAGTTAGCAATGCCTGCTAAAATTTAAAAAGATACTTTTCAAAATAGATGGAATAAAGGAATTTTACAAAACTTTTAATCAATGCAAAGCAAGATAGGAGAGGAGAATAAAGGGATAGAATGAGGACAGACCTTGGGGAATGTGTGAATGCTGAATGCTGGCCTTTCTTGTTCTGTGTTCTTTTTGTTTGTTTGTTTGTGTTTTTGAGACAGAGTCTTGCTCTATCGCCCAAGCTGGAGTGCAGTGGTGTGATCTCAGCTCTTCTGCCTCTCAGGTTCAAGCAACTCTCCTGCCTCAGCCTCCTGAGTAGCTGGGATTGCAGGCATGTGCCACCATGCCTGGAGAATTCTGTGTTCTTAATGGGGGTCAAAGGGAAAGCTCACCTGGCTGTGGATGGGAATGTTTTGCAAATGTCCTTGAATATCTGCCCAACCAATCGTGCTCCAAAGAGGTATATTTGGGCAGGGAATGAAGACCTAGAGGCAGATGTTGGCTGTCTCTTGAGTAGTTGAAGCCTGGACTTGGAGTGGGAGAGCCATGCTCAGGGCTCTCTCACTGCTGTGGGTGAGGTCACTCCTGGGGCAGGAGGAGGCTGAGCCCCCATGGAAAGCAGGGGTTGCTCACATCAAGTTCCCTTCAAGGGCCCCAAACTTTCAGGGAGGCCTGGTGCCTGTTACATCCCTGGGAGGGATCTGAGGGAGGGCTCCATGCCCTGGGATGGGACAGAGAGGCAAGGCAAGGAGAAGGAGGCTGACCTCGAGAGGCTGAGATGCAACCTGCAAAAGAGGACAGCAGTGCCCAAGTCAGGTGGGTGGAGGGGCCACCACCCCAGGGGCACGCTGTGGGCTGAGCCAGCCTTTCCTAAGGGCCAGGGAGGGCATCTGTAAATGCACAGACCCAGATGTGTGAGATCTGAACACCAAAGGCAAGATGGTCTCGCATGCGAGGGTTGTCTGGAACATCTGGGAACTGGGATGTGGCCGAAACCATCGTTTGGTCCATGCTGTTCCGACGTGAGCTTCGTGATCATGTCCCCGGCCTCCTGTCTCCAGCTGTGGGGTAGCTGCGCTGCTTTGGGATTGAGTCTGTTCTGACTGTGGGTTCAGGGATGGGTGCTCCCTGCAGTCCGCACCTGGTGTTTCCCTAGATGGAGGCCGACTCAGGTTGGGCGATCTGTCCCGACCGCCGAGCTGCAGGAACAGTGAGTGCAGCTCTGGGAAGAGGCTTCCCCTCCCACAGAGAGCGTGGGCAAGGTGACCTTTCTCCCTCCTGGTCTGACATGGTCATGCACAGACCTGGGCTGTGGCAGCCTCCAGGCAAAGCCCATGCAGGGAAGATGGCAGAGCTGGGGAAACCCCTGAGAAAGGGAACCACGTCCAACCATCTCTGGATTTTTCTGGTTTTGCAAAAGCCAGTTGGGGTTGGTCTTTCTGTAACCCACAGCTGAATGTGTCTCACTTGGTCCTGGTGGGACTCCCGTCCACCAGAGTGACATAACCGGTTGCAGGTCACCCAACAGCAGGTGCTTGTGATGGCTTACCCTCAGGTTGGCTGAGGGCCTGGCCCTGTATAGTCCAGGGATTCTGATAGAATGATTGCATTGGATCAGCCACGTGGCGGCAGGTGATTCCCTGCTCAGCATCCGAACCCTCTGCTACCCCCGCAGGGTCCTGCGGCCCCACTCACAGGTGCCCTGTGAGGAGGAGGTGGAGCGAGAGGAGAGGGGACTGGGCCCGACACTCACTGATCTTGAATGCGGCCCATGGGCCAGGTGTGGAGGAGCAGGAGGCAGGTGTCATTGTCACCCTTCCACACTCAGCAGATGGACTCCAGAGGCTGAGGCCCCTGGGCCAGTGGCAGGGTGGAATTCAGCAGAGGCTTCTGTTTCCAAAGCAGGAGCCAACCGTTCTTTCAAGACTGGGTCTGCCCCAGGCCTCCATACCCTGCTGGTCATTACGCAGCCACTCTAGCAATTAGACACCTGGGAATCAGGTACCCAGGACTGTTTTCTGTAAAGCCCTATTAAAATATTCATGAGCTCCATGAATTCTCCCCGTGCTGGGGGCTCTTTTCTTGTGGCCTCGGGTGCAGCTGGTGCTGGCTCTGTGCAGGTCTCTGGTTTTATTGACTGGGTTGGTCCTTGGCCTCATCCTTCCGTGGCTCCATTTTCCTGCCCGCCCATCCCCTGGCCACCGCTCTGAGGGCTGCCGTGGGTCCTGCTGTTATGGGTCTTGTGCCACGTGCACCATAGCTAGCTGAGCAGTTGAAGCCCCATGGATGGTGTTGGGCCCAGGGCTTGGCTCCACAGGACACTCAGGCCAGCCCTGGGGTCTGCTGGGGCTGCTGCCCAGGATTCCTGGCAGTGCCGATGCGGTCAGTGCCTGGGAACCTTTACTGCAAGACAGTGTGCAGATACAGTGCAGGTCTCCTAGGGAGTCCAGACAGGCCTGAGGCGGCAGCTGGAGGCTCCTCAGCAGGGACTGGGCCCTGAGTCACAGGCTCATGTGCTCGGCTCGGAGCAGGAGTCAAGAGGTTTCCGCCTCTGCTTAGCCCCTGACTCACTGAGGCCTCCCTGGACCTCGGTTTCTTCTTCTGTGACATAATGGACTGGGGTGGGTTTGGAGGATCAAGGACACCTCTGAAAATATGATC